>NW_014040928.1:0-205101 GCF_000001405.40 Homo sapiens
CTAAAACTTACTAGCATGAAGTCAACCCTGAGGCTGGAGAGAGTTCTATGGGCTTCTTGCGCTTATGCTGATGATGCCATTGTCAGGATGCAGCCTCCTGGGAGATCTCCACTCATTTCCATCCTTCATTCAGGTGCTCCTTCCCTGAAGCTGCCCAAGAATCTCTTGTTCCTCTGAAGAGGCCAGGCTCAGCCCTAGCTTGCTCTTTATCTGCTCAGAGTGAGCAAGGAGATTGGACCACCATTTTGTCCAGTCCAGTTTCCTGCTTTGCTTGTTTTCATGGTTGTTGGCTTTTGTTTGCAAGGAAAACCTTGGATTTCTCAGCCTGTGAACAGGAATATTTTCTCAGGCTTTTTATAGACTGTTTAAGAAAGAGAGGGCAGAGGCACATGCCTTTCCTCTCCAGCCACATAAAACAAAGCTTTAAGTGATTCTTTGGATTGGGGCGGATACAGAGAATTTGGGTGTGGGGGTGGTCAGGAACCTTGCGGGTGACAGTGCTACCTTGATTTTACGTGTTAGACCTTGAACCTCAAATCTTAGAAGAGTCTATCTCATAGTCTGCAGAATGGGCCCATCAGATTGGGTAGGTTACCTGCAAGTCAGCTTGCAGCTTTGCAGGGGAGGAAGAGAAAGGGGGCACCTGTGTTAGTTATGCCAAATTGATGCTGGTCATTAATGGGGTGATGGTTGTAGCCAGATCTCCGCCTCTCTCATACAGGGGCAGAGGATAATTGAACATCATGTGGCAGTCACAGTTGTTTGCCTCCTGTGGCCCTGTAGGTAAGTTAGGAATAAATGTCAAGGAGCAATTGACTTTGCCCTGCTTGGGCCTGATTGTTTTCCCATTCTCCATAGGTGAGAAAAAATGGTGTGATTCAGCAAAAGAAACTATCATCAGAATGAACAGGCAACCTACGGAGTGGGAGAAAATGTTTGCAATGTATCCATCTGACAGAGGTCTAATATCCAGAATCTACAAGGAACTTAAACAAATTTACAAGAAAAAACCAAACAACCCCATTAAAAAGTGGGCAAAGGACATGAACAAACACTTCTCAAAAGAAAACATTCATGCTGCCAACAAAGATTAAATAAAGCTCACCATCACTGATCATTAGAGAAATGCAAATCAAAACCACAATGAGATACCATCTGACACCAGTCACAATGGTGATTATTAAAAGGTCATGAAACAACCAATGCTGGCTCGGTTGCAAAGAAATAGGAACCCTTTTACACTGTTGGTGGGAATATAGATTACTTCAACCATTGTGGAAGATGGTGTGGCAATTCCTCAAAGTTTTAGAACCAGAAATACCATTTGAATACCAGCAATTCAATTACTATGTATATACCCAAAGGAATATAATTCTTTCTAATACAAAGATACATGCATGCATATGTTCATTGCAGCACTATTCACAATAGCAAAGACATGGAATCAACCCAAATGCCCATCAATAATAGTCTGGATAAAGAAAATGTGGTACATATACACCATGGAATACTATGCAGCCATAAAAAGGAACCAGGTCATGTCCTCTGCAGGGATGTGGATAGAGCAGGAAGCCATTATCCTCAGCAAACTAATGCAGGAACAGAAAGCCAAACACCGCATGTTCTCACTTATAAGTGGAAGCTGAATAATGGGAACACACGGACACAGGGAGGGGAACAACACACACTGGGGCCTGTTAGGGGGTGGGGTGGAGGGAGGGAGGGCATTAGGATAAATAACTAATGCATGCTTAGCTTAATACCTAGGTGATGGGTTGATAAGTGCTGCAAATCACCATGACGCACGTTTACCTATGTAACAAACCTGCACATTCTGCACATGTACCCCAGAACTTTAAAAATAAAATGGTGTGCTTGCCCAGTGCCCATTGTGTACCAGGCCTCAGATGTTGCCTTGCTTCAGTCTTAGAAATTATACTTACAACATTGTGATGTGGGAATAATGTCGTTCATGTTTCCTTTCCTTTGTTATTTTTACCATTAAAGGAACTGAGGCTCAGCGAGGTAAAGCGACTTGTTCAAGGTGGGATCATGTCACATGGATAGAAAGCGGTCTATAAATGCTTATTGGTAATGAAATTTAAGTTGAAGGGAAAGAAAAGTAAAAGGTGACTTTGTGCTTTTATTCATTTGGTATTTATTCACTGCCTCTCAGGAACAAAGCATTAAGTTTTCATAGCATCATCTTCAGTTCATCATTCCTTGTAAGAGCTGCTTCGGTGTTCGTTGATAATTTTTCTCTTTCTTCTTTCATCCTCATTTCTTTCTGCCCCAGAGATATAACACTATTCTGTTTGGTATATGTCCTTGGGTATACATATGTCCTTGAAAAATGTACATAACATTATTTTACATAGGCATGAGTACATTTGCATATGTATACATATGTGAATTATATACATAGCATTGTTCTATGCACTTCATTCTATTTCTTGCTTTTTACTCAGTGCTTTTAAGTTCTCCATACATTTATTTATATCCATCTAGTTCATTGCTTCTGATTGTTGTATCCTATTCCATAATATCCATCCACATTCTCCCAGTGATGGACAAGTGGGTTACCTCTATCTCTTTACTACATCAATAATGTGTTGGGATCCTTGAATGTGTGAGCATTTCTCAGGGGAAAATATCTGGTCTCTATACTTTCAGTGGCAAATCAAAGCATGCAAGGAGAGCTGGACAGCTGGAGATGGTGTAATATTTATTTTAAATGCAACTAACAGGAACCGGAGGGCATCCCCCATTAAAGGGACTGCTCTACAAAGAGAACCATTAACATGAATGTAAATCACAGTAGCTTCAAGGACAGTTTAATAACAATCTGACTTTTTATTGGGTGAACAGGAGATGTACCAGCTTTCTCCTTACAGAGTCTTCTGGATCTTTTGCAGAGAGAGATTATATCTGAACTGCTATCGAGATGACTGAGGGCAGAGGGCTGCTCTGGGAGTAATGGCCATAAATCCAATTAGTAATTCACTTTCTCTTTTGCTACAGGCTCCATTTCCCCTGAATGTGGAGAAGATATGCATGTTGGTCATACTCTGGAACCCGGCCAATCCCGAGGGCTCTGTGTCATCATGCCACAAAAACATTCATGACACCTTGCATGGGAAAATACTAGAATGATACACATCACCCTAGCAACAGTAGAAACCTCTGCTGAAGGAAGTGGGAAAGGTGGTGGGTTGATGGCCTGGGGACTCGTCATACTTTATTCTGTATACTTGTGTATTGCTTCAAACAAAAATTTGTTCCTATCTTACTTGTGCAATAAGGAAAAGGAAAACCCTTTAGGGACCTCTAGAGAAGTTTAGCATGGTTAGAGCTCATAAAACTCCCTTTTTATGAAGGAGGAAACAAGGCAGCTGGAGCACCAGCAGGTTGTGTGTTCCTGCTCCCATGGCTGGGTGGGGACCAGAGCTTGTCCCTCTTGATTTCTCCACTTCAGTCCTAGGGATGCTGGGTACAAGCACCAGTGTGACCAGTGGCAAAACTGCAAGGGAGCCAATGAGCCCAGAGGCTGAGCCAACGCAGAAATGTCTTGGATTCCAGACCTGTTCTTGAGAACTTGGAAACTTAAGAAAGCAAATGCTTTAATGATTAATCTTTATGATTCCAAAGTAAAGAATGGAGATGGCTTGGATTAAAAACAAAACCTGTACCAGATTAATTTTGATTTTTAAAAAATCACGTAATTGAGACTAGCCTCGGCAATATGGCAAAACTCTGTCTCTACTAAACATACAAAAAAATAGCTGAGAGTGGTGGCATGTGCCTATAGTCCCAGCTACTCGAGAGGCTGAGGAGGGAGGATCACTTGAACCTAGGAAGTTGAGGCTGCAGTGAACCATGATCATGCCACTGCACTCCAGCTTAAGTGACAGAGCAAGACCTTGTCTCAAAAAAAAAATATTGCATAACTGCTTTACATTTATTTTCTCTGAGATTGAAAAGACACATGTTGAGAACAAGGGGGTTCTTTCTCTTCCTATGTCTATACTTACTACAAAGGTGTTTCTTGTGGGTTGATCATTTAAAAAATATTATTATCATAATTGTGGTATAAATGACAAAACCACACTTGCATGAGCTAGTGAAAAAAAAAAAAAGCACAAAGGATTTGGGTTTGAACCCCAGCCCTGGCATTTACTTGTCACCTTGAGCAAATGACCAAACCTCCCCATGCTTTAGTTTTATTGTGTGTAAAGTGGAAATAATATCACCTAATTCACATGATTACTATGAGGATCAACTGAGATACTCTAAGTAGAGGTGTTAGTACAATGGCTGGCACATAGTAAGCACTCAATAATGATGGCCATTATTATTTTAATAAGGACATATTCACTATTATTATTTTCCCTTGGACTACTCCAGGGATCAGTGAGATATTTTTTAGGTATACTAATAACTTGCTTTGAATTTCTCGAAAGCAGAGTCTGAGACAAGGATTTGTGTGCAGAGTGTTTGTTTGGAAGGTGATCCCGGGAAATGCAGTGAGGAAGTGAACCAGGGAAGAGAGAAAAAAGGCAATAAAAATATATCTCTGTGGGCAAACTGGACACAATCCTAAGACCTTCTGAGGGACTGTATAGAGTATATTTCTATTTCAAAGATCATAGGGGAGGCATGACACTTACATAGTGTCTGGTACAACTACGTAAGTGCAATCTCCAATTAGGTTTTTTTTTTTTTGTTTTTTTTTTGAGACAGTCTCACTCTGTTACCCAGGCTGGAGTGCAGTGGTGTGATCCTGGCTCACTGCAACCTCTGCCTCCCCAGTTCAAGCAATTCTCATGCTTCAGCCTCTCAAGTACCTGGGACTACAGGCATGTGCCACCACGCCTGGTTAGTTTTTGTATTTTTAGTAGAGACAGGGTCTTTCTGTGTTGCCCAGCCTAGTCTCAAACCCCTGGGTTCACGTGATCCACCCACCTTAGCCTCCCAAAGTGCTGGGTACAGGTGTGAGCCACCACACCCGGTCTCCAATTAGGTTTTAAGTATAGGTTATGTTTTTGCTTATAATTTTTTTGTTGTTAAGTAACAAATGTTGTCTGCATTGGCTGGTGTTCCCCATGTTTACTCTGCCAGCTGTTTCTCCATTAACTGATATGAGGGCATAATTTATGTGGCAAAATGTTTTGGCATGGTAAACACTTCTATAACAAGAAGCTTAAAAGTCAAGTTTGAATGATATATTTATCATTCCATTTCAAGTCAAGGTAGGTTGTCTCTTAGACTGGTTCTCAGAGTAAGCAAAGGGTCTTCTGGAAACAATGATACTCTTTTCAGAGAACACTACAATCATCCCAGAACACCAGAGTTCCAATATATTCAATTCCAAGGCATAAACAGAAAAAGTTATTGCAAGAAATATGACCATATTATGAAATTATTAATATGGACATGCACACACACATCAACCAAATACGACTGACTTTTTATGAATTTCTATTAGTATTTGTTTACTGGGTCATTGCTCACTTGTTATCTGTGGGAATTTACTAGCAGGTTAGCAGCAGTAGGCACCATGGGTATATGAAAATAGGGGAGAGAAACATTACACATGTGACATTTTACCCATTTTTACACTAACCTGAGAGTAAAGAATCCCTAATTATCTTTCAGGGACAAAACACTTCTACGTAATTTTTAAAACACTGGCCTTTGAGAACCAACGTAAAAGTTCAACCTAACAGCTACAATGCCAATTTGTGGCAATATTCACTAATCAAAATGAGGGACATCTCACGATTCCAGGCTACTAGGAAGTTTGCAGGTGACTTGGCAGATCTCGTAGATTGCACCTCCTAGGTGCTGTAAGAGCAAAGTGTGAGTTGCCTACTAAGCTAGTGGGCAGACACTCGACTCTTCTGTGGGGTCACTTGAAACTGGAGCTATGTATATAAAGTAGCTCCCCTTAGCCACAGCTTGGCTTTCTGCTGTTTCAGTTACCAGTGGTCAACCGCAGTCTGAAAATAGGTGAGTACAACACAATAAGATATTTTGAGAAAGAGAGTGAGAGCGACCACATTCACATATTTGTTATTACAGTATATTGTTACAATTGTTCTAATCTCTTACTATGCCTATACATACATACCTATAATAAAGTTTATAAATTAAACTTCGTTATAAATAAAGTTTATAAGTTAAACTTTGTTATAAATAAAGTTTATAAATTAAACTTTGCTATAAATAAAGTTTATAAATTAAACTTTGTTATAAATAAAGTTTATAAATTAAACTGTTATAAATAAAAAGTTTATAAATTAAACTTTATTTAAAGTTTAAATAAAGTTTATAAATTAAACTTCATTATAGGTATGTATGTATAGGAAGAAATGTAAAGGAAAAAATACATACATACTATATGTATGTATGGGAAAAAAGTTTATAAATTAAACTTTATTATAGGTATGTATGTATAGGCAAAAACATAGTGTATATAGGGTTTGGTATTATCTGCAGTTTCAGGCATCCACTGAGGGTCTTGGAATGTATCCCCCATGGATAAGGGGGGACTACTATGTATATATGTCTGTGTATGCATATATAAACATATATATGTATACACACATATAGTTTATATATATACATATACATACATATGTATACATGTATGTATATATACTTATACATACATATGTATACATATGTATGTATATATACTTATACATACATACAGTTTATATGAGGAAAACTTTATGTATTTTACACTAAATCAGGCAATACACTACTGAATATAACTAACACAACTGCCTTCTTTGCTTACACTATTACTTACTTCCATGCATTCATTTCCTGAGTCTGGAAATGGATCCACCTTCTACCATCCTTACTGAAGGCCTAGCTCAAATCTTATGTCCCCACAAAACTATACCTAACCATCTCAGCCATCTGCTAGCGGGCCCTCTCTCAAATTCTTAAAATACTTTTTATACTGTTCATTTCACACTTACTGCCACCCTATATTGTTAGTCTCTCTCTCTCTCTTTCTCTTTCACACTCTGTCTCTCACACACACACACATTCCTATCTTCCCTAACTAGACAAGATTTGCATTTTATTACTGTTTGTGCCCAACAAGTGCCTCATACACAGTGGCTCTTGCAAATATGTTAGAATCTTGTAATTAGGCACAGCCCCCAACATTATTCACAGCCCCACTCTATCAAACACCAATGTTTCCCCAAACTGAGTAATGTAGAGATCCTTAAAGAAAATGAAATCTGCACATACCCAGTGTCAACTTAAATATGCTTAAGTATAAAACAAAGCATAAACTCCTTCCATTTATAGCTTCCATACAACTATAAAATGAAAACAGTTTACAATTAAATGCAAATAAACCCACATATTTGAATTAATATTAATTTAATCTGACAGATGCTATTTTGCTGCAACTAAATCACTGTTCAGAACGGGAATAGGGTCATGACTGCTGTGAGGCAGGCTGTTTACAATTTATCATGCCCATATTGTGGTTTTCTATATGACCATTCCAATTTTCCATCCATTTGCTCTATTTGAACCTTATGAAACCATCATTCATTCAAAAAAATATCATGTCATTGGACTTCATCTGGCACAAGTACATCACTGCTGTGTTAGTTCCAACCTCTCTTCTTTCTCATTTACCTATGACAATAATATACCACTTGGCATCAATGTGACCTTAAACGTAGATGCTATGAAATCTGTGGCAATACTTTGTTATAGATGGTCATCCAAATGAAAATACTCATAATAATATTAACAGCTATTATTTACAAACTTTTTTATGTGCCAAGTGCTTTCCTATATGTAGACTATCTCATTTAATTCTTTCAATAACTCTCTGAGAAAGGAGCCATCATCATCATTTTATAGACAAGGAAACAGTGCCTCAGAGTTCAATAGCATTCTCAAATCCATGCTGCTCATAAAGAATTTTAACCCATGAAATCTGACCCGAAACATGAATGCTATACTATACTTATTAATTTGTTCAGCTGGGTGGGTGTGGTGGCTCACGCCTGTAATCCCAGCACTTTGGGAGGCCGAGGCAGGCAGATCATGAGGTCAGGAGTTCAAGACCAGCTTGGCCAACATAGTGAAACCACATCTCTACTAAAAATACAAAAAAAAAAATTAGCCGGGCATGGTGGCGGGCACCTGTAGTCCCAGCTACGTGGGAGGCTGAGGCAGGAGAATTGCTTGAGCCTGGGAGGCAGAGGTTGCATTGAGCCAAGATCGCACCATTGCACCCCAGCCTGGGTTGACAGAGTGAGATTCCATCTCAGAAAAAAAAATTTGTTCAGCTTACCATTCAAATGAACACAAAATTAAAATAAAAGTGTTACAGAGAGTCAACCTACCTCAATATTTGAGAAACATTTCTATATACCCAGAATTCATCATATGCTCAGTAATCATGCCTGTAGATTATTTTCCAATCAAGAAGTACTGGTGCAGTTATTGCTAGCCAAAATATGAAACAACTCAGCTTTCTCATCTGGTTGACTGGTCCAATCAAGAAAATGTTTGGACAAGAAAAAGTTGTACATTTCTGTCTTAGTCCATTTGGACTGCTATAGAAAAATACTATAAATTGGGTGGCTTATAAACAACACACATTTATTTCTCACAGTTCTGGAGGCTGGGAAGGCATTGGCAGATTCAATGTCTAATGAGGGCTTGCTTCCTGGTTCATAGATGGTGTTCTTATGTGGTGGAAGACATGAGGGAGCTCTCTGGGGCTTCTTTTATAAGGGCACTAACTCCATGTTGGCCCCTCGTGACCTGATCACCTCCCAAGAGTCCCACCTCCCAGTGCATCACATAGCGGGTTGGGATTTCAACATATGAATTTTAGGGCATGCAAACACTCAATCTACAGAACTTTAGTTCCATCCTCCCACACCCCCACCCCCGGTATAGTTACACTGGGTGTGTTTAATCAAATCCCTTGCTATTCTTCCCAAAAATTAATGGTGTGATCTACTTACTGGCTTCTGTTTCCCACATAAGCAACTTAGGAATGAGAAAAAAGCTTGTACATTTCAGATCTGTAAAGAACAGTTACCAATTTTCTTATGATACTGCAAAAGACATAGTTTTATCTGATTTCCAGGTCATCTACTGCATTGCTTTGGCCACGGTTTAATCCTATGAAGGTCTCTATCCTAAAAACTATTGGACAAGGTCTCTATTCTTAAGACTTGAGTGTTGTTGTCATTAATAATTTATATGGGCTGGGCACGGTGGTCCCAGCACTTTGGGAGGCCTAGGTGGGTGGATCACCTGAGGTCAGGAGTTTGAGACCAGCCTGGCCAACATGGTGAAACCCTGTATCTACTGAAAATACAGAAGTGAAGTGGGTGTGGTGGTGGACACCTGTAAATCCCAGCTATTCAGGAGGCTGAGGCAGGAGGAGAATCACTTGAACCAGGGAGGCAGAGGTTGCAGTGAGCTGAGATTGTGCCACTGCACTCCAGCCTAGGCAACAAGAGTGAAACTTCATCTCAAAAAATATTAAGAAAATTAAAAATTAAAAATAAAAAAATTAATAGTATATATTGGAGTCATGCACTTCTACAAAAATAGCTGCATGCTGAGTTTGGCTGATTCTTCCATCTTAGAAACAATTTGGTAGGTAAAATTTAAATGTTATTACCCTTACATAGACGAGGCTATTAGTGCACAGGAGGTTAAATTTAAGGTCACACAATTAGTGCTGAGCCAAATGTAGAAATCAGGTTTCCTTGTCTACAATTCCTCCCACTGGACCAAATTCCCCCTTAGAGCAATGCAGAAACAGCATTCTAGAAGGAATTTAGATTTATTTCTAAACTCGATCTGGTTCCATTGTGAGTATAAAAACCTGATTTGCAATCGGAGCCTGGAGTGTCACCCACCGCCTGTGTGGATGATTTTGTTACCAGCTGCTGAAACACTTCAATGGGAAGACATGGAATTCCTGCAGGAAATGACTCCAGGCAGCTCTGAATAAGTGAGGAAATTAAATGACTAACTTCAATGTTTCCTGGTTTTTGTCTATCTTAATTAACAATTTATTTTGGTAAAGGAAAAACTGAATAACTTTTTAATAGTCAACACGTAAAACTTAATATTTGTTTATAATAAAAACATGATTTCCATGTCTACTTTTATTTGCAAAACACCCAGCTTTTTAAATAATTTTCTCCTTCGGTAATTGTGTTTATTGAAGAGTTTCTCTTTAAAAAAACAATGACAGCATATATATGTGGGAAATATCAATTTCCTTCTCATAGTTCCCAAAGGCACACTTATGAAAAATGTGTTGATTATTAACAGAGCTAATATTTTTGTGGTAGTGTTATTACTGAACATCTATAAGAATTGGAGTTTGGGGTTGACAGAGGTGCTGCAGTCCAAATACATTATTGATTTCTATGTCATGTTAAATGTAGCATGGACCTAATTGAACATAATTACTACTTTTGATACATATTTTATGTGGTTCCTACTTTGCCTTCATTCATTTATTCCACAATACTTACTGAATGTCTGCCATGTACCAGGCATTCTTCTAGGTGCTGAGATACAAGGTAAATTAAACAAAGCTCCTGCTCCCATGGAGCTAACGTTCTAGTTGAAGGGAAAACAGACAATTAACAAAAAGACAGGAAAATATGTCAGGGAGTTGTAATTGCTATGAAGAAAAACAGAGTGAGACAAGAATGAGGGAGGGGTACTACCTTAAATGGCGGGGGGTCAGGAAATCAGGGAAATCCTGGGTTTGTCTGTGGAAAGTTAATAATTTCAGACTAATAATCCATCACGGACAACTATCATCGTGGCTGTATAATTGTGACATTCCATTCTTTCCTGGGTTCTACAAGTGTTTAGGAAAAACTTTTAAATTCAAGGTTAATGGTTAGCAATTTCGAGAAAGCTGATTTTATATCCGTGTAACTTCTGTCTTTATTTTTAGCCTTCTTTACAGGACAGTATCTCTTAGGACTAAAGAAGTTGGGGCAAAACCAAAGTTCTCCTCACAGGGCTACTTAACTTTCATGCCAAGCAAACATAAACAAATTTGAATTAGTAATTAAGTTTAGAGACACCAATTACATTTTTACTGAAATTAAATAAAGGCAAATTCTCCTTAATATTTCCAGAATGACTATTAACAACCACAAGTGTTACCTTTTGTTGAACAACATAATGTGCCAAGTACAGAACTTCATGTACATCTTCTTTCTTGTTTTTCAGCAGCCCTAGATATGGGCACAATTGCTCCCATCTTTTAGGTAAGGAAATTGGGACTCTGATAAGTTAAATACTCTCCCTGAGGTCCCAGAAGTAATCATGTCATATTTGGAGTCTGACATCACTTCTGCCTGATCTTATGCGTCTGCAAGGAACAATGAAGATGATCTAATTTAACCTCATTTTACATATGGGTAAACAGAGACAGCTGTGGTGACCTGCCCAGGGTCACAGAACCAGTGAGCTGGTAGCAGAGTTGGGACTAGAGCCCAGTAGGAACTCCTCCGATGACACCGTGCTGCCTCCCAGTGAGAGCTATGCAAGCCAAACTCTGCAACCCACTGCCTTTTCAATGAACATCCAGGTCAGTTGGGTACCCACTTGGGACCAGGATGAATCCTGACTCCTACTCATATCATACATAAAAAATCAATTCCAAGTGCATCATTTATCTAAATGTGAAAAGCAAAATAACAAAGCTTTTAAGAACAGCTACATGATCTTGGGGTAGGCAAAGAAGTGTTGACAACTGTAAAGGTTAAAATGGGTAAATTGAATTATACTAAAAGTAATAACTTTTCTTTATTAAGATGTACCATTAAGGAAGTGGAAAGGAAAAGTCCCAGAGTGGGAGAAGACGTCTGTACACATGTGTGGTGACATAGAGCTTGTATCCAGCATGGCTCTGTGTGTGTGTGTGTGTGTGTGTGTTCATTCCTACAAATTAGTGGCAAAAAAGGCAGTTAATCCCATAAAAAAATAGAAAAAAACCTTGAACAGGTACTTCAAAAAAGAGGATATACTAATAAACAAATGAAAGGGTGCTCAACATCCTTCGTCATTAAGAAAATGCAAATTAAATCCTCAATTGATTTTATTACACACTTAGAAGAAAAATTAAAATGAAATAAATTTATTGGACCATATGAAACTGCAATCTTTGCAGGTCAGAAATAGTGAAATATCATATAATGTAATCGATATCAAGTACTGATGAGGATGTGGAACTTCAGATCTTCAGACATTTGTGGAGTGTCAGTTGGTGTCACCCTTTGGGAATCTGTTTGGCAAAACTACACTAAAGCTTGGTGACTTAAAAAAGCAAATATTTGGCAGGGCGCTGTGGCTCACGCCTGTAATCCCAGCACTCTGGGAGGCCAAGGTGGGTGGATCACCTGAGGTCAGGAGTTCGAGACCAGCCTGGCCAACATAGTGAAACCCCGTATCTACTAAAAATACAAAATTTAGCCAGGCGTGGTGGCATGTGCCTGTAATTCTAGCTACTCAGGAGGCTGAGGCAGGAGAATTACTTGAACCTAGGAGGTGAAGGTTACAGTGAACTGAGATTGTGACACTGCACTCTAGCCTCGGTGGCAGAGCAAGACTTCATCAAAAAAAAAAAGAAAGAAAAAAGCAACCATTTATTATTTTATACACGTTTATAGATCAGGTGGGCAGCTCTGCGGCTCTGGGTTAAGCTCAGTCAATTCTACCTGGGCTTGCGCGTGCAGCTGGCAGAATGGCTGGGGCTGGCTAGTGCGATGGCCTGTCCAGGATGGCTCAGCTCTCCTCATGTCCTTCAAATCCTTCGGCAGGCTCACCTGGAGGGGTAGTCACAGACGAGAGAGAGAGAGCAAAAAAAGCAAGTGCTTGCTTGTAGGAGCACTACTGGTACCAACTTTTCCACTGTCCATTGGCCAAAGCAAGTCAAATGACCAAGCCCCGAGCCAGTGTGGGAAGGCATTATGATGACATGAATACAAAGAAGTGTGAAGATTGGGCCAGTATTTACTCAGGCTGGACAGACATTTGTATACCCTGTGATGCAGCAATTTCACTCTTAGATATATACCCAACAAAAAAATATACATGTGTTCATGAAGAGAAATATCCAAGAATATTAATAGCAGCACTTTTCATAATAACCTCAAGCTGAGAACAACTCAGATATTCATGTATAGTAGTGTGGATAAGCAAACTGTGCTATATTCACATGATGGAGTATTATACAGCAGTGAGAATGGATGAACTATGACAATATGGAGAGAGAGAGAGAGAGAGAAATACATATGAGCAAACAAACAGTAAAACAAATCCATGTTGTTAGAAGTTTGGCTAGCAGCTACCCTGAAAGGAGGCTAGTGACAGGAAAGGGACAGGAAGGGGCTTCTGGAATATGAGTCATGTTCTATTTCTTGACTGGGTACTGGTTACGTGGTTGTGTTCATTTTGAAGATATTCATTATAATGTATACTTATATTTTGCACGGCTTTCTCTATGTGTGCTCATGTCAATGAAATTTACATTAAAATCATTAACTGACATGCATAATTTTCATGGGTTTTTTGTTTGTTTTTAAATGTGTTTTCTGTTTTCCTGTTGAGAAACTCAGGTAACTATAATTCCATCTATTGTCTCCTCTGCGAAGGTGATGCGTTTCAAAATTAACAAGTAAATTAGTTGCATCACCACTGTGGCAATCACTTCATTCAATTCAATTCCATTTAACATAACAAGCGTTTACTGAGAACTCAAAACACAATGAAAGGAAGATGCATAAGGTCTCCACATGCTTTTCAGACCTCAGTGTACACCTGAATCATCTGGGGAACTGGTAAAATGTGTTGATTCCTGGGGTCCAACTCCAGAGATTCTGATTTAGTAGATCTGGAGTGGAGCCTAGTACACAACATTTTAAATTAAGTGCTATAGGTAAAATTGATGTAGAAAATCTTTGGATTATGTTCTGACAAAGACTAGCAAGAGCTCATGATCTAATCGCAAAGAAATCTATGTATTAAAGACAAAAACTAAAACAAGGTACAAACTACAATAAAGCTATAAAGAACATTGGATGGAGAAATTACAACTTGTTGAAGAAATGGGATTAAGTTTCACCTTGAAATAAGTAGGGAAAAGCTCTAAATTAATTCACTAAAAATATATTTAGCTCCTCCTACTAAGGTTTAGCACTGTTCTCAGTGCTGGGGATACACTAGGGAACAATGCATACCAAATCTCTGCCCTATGTTGCTTATGTACTACTGAAAGCAGCCTTTCCCTAGGCAAAGAGTAGTGTCTGTAATGGGAGCACCAGGAAATACACAAGGAAATGCAGATAGGAACCAAAGTGTAGACGCTTTTCTGCATCTAGCAGTATTTTTGTATTCCAAACTAACATAGTTTCTTCCAATCCTTGGGTTTTATAGTCCTCAGATATCCAAAGTGTTTTCTCACCCTTTTGTGAACAGAGAGCATTTTTAGCATTCCCATTTACCTTTGTTGTTTGTGTTGACCTCTGGCTTCCCTCCAACTTCACCACATCTTTCTTGTTATTAGTTGTCTACAAAAAAACTCCAGTATACCAGGTAAGCTTACAAGAATTACAAAATGACTGCCAATGACCTCTGTCTAATTCTATGACCTAGAACCTCTTCTGAAGCACCTGACACTAGCTTTGAATTGACTCCTCAAGAACCATGGCAAACTCTTTTCTAATTGACTATCTGCCACCACTCTAGGCATTTGTGGTGTGTGTACAGAAGGCTGTATACCACCTTCTAATCTCTACTCAGCCTCTAACTATCTGTATTTCAGTTGATAATCCCTGTGCTAATTCTGGTTGGTAACTTCTCCAGACAATCTTTAGCTTGTTATGTGGAAGTCTGGGGGAGGGGTTTGTTGATGTAATACCAGTTAATCAGATATCATCTGAAAAAGCCATCAGCTTACAGTTGATAGTAGTGGTAACTCCTCCTGATTCATTAGTACAGATGTTCCATTAATATCAGTAACAATGCATTTGACACTTTTCCAAAGCTTGATGAAAAAAAATAGTTCTTTACATTTATTCTTCCACTGAGGTTTTCCTTTACGTAACAGTATTTATTCTTCTTTTAAAAATTTTGTTGTGGTAAAATTACTTAACATGAGATCAAACCTCTTAATGGATTTTTAAGTGTACTTTATGGTGGTGTTATCTACAGGCACAACGTTGTACAGTAAATCTCTAGAACTTACTCATCTTGCATAACTGAAATTTCACACCCATTGATTAACAACATCCAATTCCCTTACCCCCACAACCCCTGACAACCAACATTCTATTTTTTGCTTCAATGAGTTTGACTACTTTAGATACTTCATGTACATGGAATCATGCCATACCTGCCCATCTGCGACTGGCGTATTTCACTTAGCATAATGTCCTCAAGATTCACTTATGTTATTCCATATTGTAGAATCTCCTTTTTTAGGGCTGAATAATATTCCATTGTATATATATGCCATATTTTCTTTATCCATTCATTCACTGATGGGCATTTAGATCATTTCCACATATTGGCTATTATAAATAATGCTGCAGTGAACACAGGAGTGCTCCTATCTTTTCGAGATCCTGATTTCAACTCTTTTGGATAAATATCTATAAGAGGAATTGCTAAGTCATATAGTAATTCTATTTTGATTTTAAATTTTTTTCCATACTATTTTCCATAGAGACTGCACCATTTTGCATTCCCATCAACAGTGTATACTGTTGGTCTATCCTCACCAACACTTATTGCCTTTTGTTTTTTGTTAATAGCCATTCTAACAGGTATGATGTGATATCACATTGGGAAGAGGTATTTCTAAGTCAATAGGATAACTTTTCTTAAGGAAGAAAGTAATTCCTGCTCATGATTCTGTATTATATTAACATATTAATATATTTATACACATGAAGTAGAAGGTTGAGAAAGTTATCTAAAGAGACTCTGGAGTCAGTTCGACTAAAACTTGAATTTTTGTTCTGTCCTCCAATAGCCTTGTGATATTGAAAAATTCATGTAATCTTTCACTGTCTCAGTTTCCCTGTCTGTAAAATAAAGTGGGGCTATAAATAACATTTCTCTCAGAGGGTTCTTGAGAGGGATATATTTATTCTGAAAACTGGTAAATAATGGGAAAGAATTCTAACATTAATATTGTTTTTGGGGGGAGTATTTCAGAGTAATCAAATAACTAACAAGAGAAAGTTTATCTATCTATCTATCTATCTATCTATCTATCTATCTATCTATCTAATAGCTAGTAAAAGAAATAACAATTAGCAAATCATCATTTGTCACCCCTGTGAGATCATGGTCCCAGGAAACAATCTTTCTTCAGCAGCTACTAACACCATTGGGTGAAATGTTGATGGGAACTTTATAATTGATGGATCAGACTGACACCTCCTGAACCCCTCCTAAACACTGGCCAACCTTAACTCCACTCCCACAAAGTGGGATAAGCACCCATTATGTGCATCCTGGTGGCATGCAACAGAAAGTACAAGGTACCACCTGCCAAGACCCCTATCTACCAGGTTAAGAAAATATGAAGGATGGAGGAACATGTTAAATGACACCATGAGGATGCAATTAGCTAAATACATAACAAAAGAAGTTATGTAGGAAAGATTACTCAGTTTCTTCCACAAATAAATCACATTAAAAATAAAGAGGAAAAGGGGGGGAACTCCCTTAAAGGATATATCAACCACATGCAAATATGTGGATATTTTTAGGATCCTCATTCAAGCAATCCAGCCATCAAAAGATATTTTCAAGACAACTAGGGAAAATTGAAAACTAATTGGGAAAAAGATGATATTAAAGATTTATTGGTAATTTTGCTAGGTGTGATAACAATACTGAGTTATGGTTGAAAAAAGAGCATTTGCCTATCAGCAAATATTGAGGTAAAGTGGCATGTTGTCTAGGAGTTGCTTTAAAATACTCTAGTAAAAATAAGTGTGCATATGTTTCATCTCTATGTGTCTGGTGTATTAGAAGGAGCAGAAAGATGAAAGCAAATGACAGAATGTTGATAATTTTTAGAGCCAGGTGATGACTGAAAGAGGATTCACTCTGCTATTTTCTCTGTGCTTATGTGTTTGAAGTTTTGCACAAAACCCATGTTCTTACACCAAAGCAAGCAGATATCATAAATAAGAATTGTTTGCATAATTTGTATGATATTTCAAAACAAAAAAACACCTGAAATAAATTTTCAAACTTTCAGCAGTTGCTCCTTATGCCTCAGGCACCTGGGGGCACACAGTTACTGTCTCTTGCCATTAGGGGTGATTTGAGAGGTCAGAGAAGCACTAAAAGGGTTGAAGGAAGCTTTATAATCCATAGCTCAAGCTCTGAAAAGTAAATGAACTAATGTCATTTAAATGTAGTGGGTCAGGACCAGCATTTTAAAAACATGAAACAGAGAAAACAAAGCTGCCAGGAAGTTTAAACTGGGCGGAGCCCACCACAGCTCAGCAAGGCCTCTGCGGCCAGACTCCCTCTCTAGATTCCTCCTCTCTGGGCAGGGCATCTCTGAAAAACAGGCAGCAACCCCAGTTAGGGACTTATAGATAAAACCCCCATCTCCCTGGGACAGAGTACCTGAGGGAAGGGGCAGTTGTGGGCGCAGCTTCAGCTGACTTAAACGTCCCTGTCTGACAGCTCTGAAGAGAGCAGCAGATCTCCCAGCTCAGCATTCGAGCTCTGATAAGGGACACACTGCCTCCTCAAGTGAGTCCCTGATCCCCGTGGATCCTGACTGGAAGATACCTCCCAGTAGGGGCCGACAGACACCTCACACAGGAGAGCTCCGGCTGGCATCTGGTGGGTGCCCCTCTTCGACGAAGCTTCCAGAGGAAGGAACAGACAGCAATCTTTGCTGTTCTGCAGCCTCTACTGGTGATATTCAGGCAAACAGGGTCTGGAGTGGACCTCCAGCAAACCTTTGCAAGGACATGGATGAAGCTGGAAACCATCATTCTTGGCAAACTAACACAACAACAGAAAACCAAACTGAACACTCATAAGTGGGAGTTGAACAATGAGAACACATGGACACAGGGAGGGGTACGTCACACTCCGGGGCACGTCGGGGGGTGGGGGCTAGGGGAGGGATAGCATTAGGAGAAATACCTAATGTAGATGACGGGTTGATGGGTGCAGCAAACCACCGTGGCACATGTATACCTATGTAACAAACCTGCACATTCTGCACGTGTACCCCAGAACTTAAGGTATAATAATAATAATAATAAAACATGAAATAGAATAAAATAGAAAAATGCCAGACTGCATCTTCCATAATAGTACATTACCTATATGAGTTATTTACCACTGATATCAGGGCTTTTCAATTCTGAATGTGCACCTGAATCAGCTGAGGATCTTGTTACAATGCAGATTCTGACTCTAGGTCTGGGGAGGGGTCTGAGATTCTGCATTTTTAACATGCTCTTCCGGGGAGCTTACAGTCTAGGGGTGGAACACACAGGTTCAATCTTGCAAAATGGCAGGTTGTACAAATACAAATGGGAGTGCAGCAGAAAAGGAAGACTAGCTCTGCCTGAGATTTCATGGTTGAGTAGGAGTATGTTAGGCAGAGAAGCACCTGAGAGGCAGTCCAAGGAGTGACTGGCAAGTGCCAAGGACCAGTGAGCTTTTCTTGGCATGGTTACATCACTCTCTATTGCAGCTCAACATGGTTTCCAAGGCCACAACCTGATGGCAGTTGCCCCTCGTGAGTTTAAGCTAGCTCAGCCAGCAGGTGTGCTGGAGGCCTTGATGTCTTCCCTTGAAGGCCTGGCACCTGCAGTTCTGGTGGCTGTCACCTGGCGATGAGCAACGTGCTCCTGCAAATAGCAGCCTTCAGGACTTCGTGGCGCCCCTTTCCTTCCTACTTTTCCAAACTGCGCTCACAGCTCTCCACCCTGGCCCTGCCTTCCACAGATCTCACTTTCTATTTTGCATAAAGGGCCACTGCCATCTGATTTTCACTGCTTCTCCTTTCTCTTCCTCAAAAATCACTGATATTCTTTGTGTGTGTGTCTCCTTCTGCTGCAAAAGAGGAATCTGCAAGGGTGACAACTCACCTAAGCCTTGGACCTCACTTCTCCCAGCACCTCCCCCAGCCTCTCCATGTCTTGTATGCTCCCCTTCACTCACTTACAGAACCCTCTGCCCTGTTTACAAACATGCCACTTCTCCAGGCACCCAAGGGTGTCTCTAAACCCTGTTACTTTCTTAGGTTCCTTGCAAGTAGCAGCAGTGCCTTACTCCATGATAAACCCACAGCCCTAATTACTCCCCACGCTCTTCCTCATCTGCAGTGTGCATAAGCGTTGATTCAGGGAGGAAGGAATAAAATTGTTGCTGCCTCTCACCTTCTCTTCATCTCTAAACCCTGTGCCTCTGATTGTTGGTTTCTCCTGTTTCTAGCCTCCCCTGGGCTCTGGTTTCCTGTCCTAGAGGGTGTCATCCCCACATGGGCCTCAAGAGGAGCTGTGCCCTCTTTAACACCTCAGTCTATTTGAGGCCAGACACTTTTTGTTAATTACCTTCCGGCACAACTAAGACCAGTCAGAACCCTTTAAATGAGACTGAAGATTTGGGGTAAACAAATTGAAGAAACAACCTGAAACCAAATTATCCACTTGATATGGTTTGGCTGTGTCCTCACCCAAATCTCATCTTGAATTGTAGCTCCCATAATCCTCACGTGTCATGGGAGTGACCTGGTGGGAGATAATTGAACCATGGGGGTGGGTTTTTCTCATGATGTTCTCATGATAGTGAAAAAGTTTCATGAGATCTAATGGCTTTATAAAGGGCAGTTCCCCTTGCATATGCTCTCTCTTGCCTGCTGCCATGTAAGATGTGACTTTGCTCCTCCTTTGCCTTCTGCCATGATTGTGAGGCCTCCCCAGCCATGTGGAACTGTGAGTTCATTAACCCTCTTTCCTTTATAAATTACCCAGTCTTGGGTATGTCCTTATTAGCTGTGTGAGAATGGACGAATATACCACCCAACAAAGTAGGGCTTTCTCCTACAGCATTCAGTATGAGGATGCTTCCCTGCCCTGTTCCCTGTGGCAGAGAACATCTTTCCTCCTATATTGGAGCTTCTTCAAGTTCTTTTTAAACTCTGGAAGTCCAGATTCAAGAAAGTGAGACCCAGAGAGATTTGCCTCCTGCTTACCTTTTGAGTAGGAATGTCTTCACAGAAAATCCAGCTTTCCTGACATCCTGATGTCCACCCTGTTCCTGAGAGACATGAGTAAGGCCTTGATCCATGGACTGAATTGGCCGTGGCCTTCAGAATACAACATAATGAACCCAACCTCTTTAAGAGACACACGTCTAGTACCATGGTGAACGTCATTATAGGGTTACTGTCACAGACCACCATACCACCATTGACCCCATAACTGCTGAACTCATTGACCTCCTCTTGGTTTTCCTTCCCATCCATCTCGCTGAAGCTTTGGACACCACTGCTCCGTTTTGGCACTCTTTCGTCGCTTGGCTCCTGTGACACTGTCACTTCTGGTTTTCCTCCAAATTCTCAGACCACTTTCTCTCCATCTTTGCTGCCTATACTTCCCCCTTTAAATGTCAGCATTGCCCAAACTTTTGTTCTTGGCTCTCTTCTCTTTATCTTCCCAACTAATTTCCTCCACTGTGCAGGTGCTTGTCCCCAGAACTTCTAATGGTGTAGGAGAATTGGAAGCTTTACTGATTCTTTCCCTTCTCTAGACAGACAAAGCTCCTAGCTCCCCAGCATAGCCTCAAGCCACAGAAAACTTACCCCTAAGAGCTCTCATGTACCACCTTCAAAAAAGAATGGATCCTTTCCTGTTTAGCTTTCCCCAGGCTAATGCGACTTCCTCTTTTGAATACACAGGGTACTTAAAACATTTTTTTAGACTAGCTCTTATGTGACAGACACAGTTCCAGGTTCCCCACAATACACCTGTTGACTGGATAGTATTCTCTCCAAACCAGGCTTCACAGAGGTCCCAGGACCTGCTCAGAGTCACAAGAGCAGCAAGTGGTGGACCTGGGACTCTGGATACATGATGGCCACACAGTGCTGGTTGTGCCTTCTTGAGTCACCTGCCTTACTTTGCCATCCACTATTTTTAATAGCAAAAACCTCAATTACTTTTGCAGCAACTGAATATTGTGTGTGTGTGCATTTAATTCCTCTGCACATAAACTTTTGAGTAACTTTCTTATTTTTCCTTTCAGCTCTTGGCACCAAGCTTTTAGTTTGAATTTTGGAGACAGTCTCAATTTTAAATATTTCATCCTACTATGCAAATAAGTACTGTTGACCCACTTTGGGGCTCGTAAAGTGTGGTCATTGTTACAAATGCTTTGGACATTGCAGGCAATTAATAAATATCTGTAAAGCTGAATGAACAATATGGGAAAACAAGCCAGGTTTATTTCAGATTTCAGAGACCGAGAGCGTCATTCCAATGCAACTATAATGCTTTATTAAAACAAGCATAAATTTTAAGTGGTCACCAACTGCTAGCACTTGTGTGTGTTTTGAAAGAATGATGCAATACAGAATAAGAAAGAGTAGCTTTTTACATCATTTCACCTCCAATATCAGAATAGAAGGAAAAAGTCTGACCATGGTCTTTTTCTGTAACTGGTTTGTGACTATTTTTATTGAACGTAAAATCATTATTCCTATTGAACTTCCCCTCTGTTTAATTCTCACTCTTAATTTTAGGCTTATTACATCTACTACTTTGTAAGAAATGCTAGCATTTTCTATTAACTACTCTACTATGCCCCTTTAAAGTGGCTTCTTATGGGAAACATGCCGTTTTAATAGACATTTGTAGAAATTGGAAATTGGAAATTAGAGGTACGAACTTATTTCTTCACTTAATTATTAGCACTGATTCCTTTTTTTTTTTTTTTTTTTCTGAGGCAGAGTCTCCGTCTGTCACCCAGGCTGGAGTGCAGTGGCATGATTTCAGCTCACTGCAACCTCCACCTCCTGGATTCAAGCACTTCTTGTGCCTTAACCTCCTGAGTAGCTGAGACTACAGGTGCACCACCATGACCAGCTAATTTTTTTGTATTTTTTTCAGCAGGGACGGGGTTTCACCATGTTGCCCCAGCTAGTCTCCAACTCCTGACCTCAAGTGATCCACCTGCCTTGGCCTCCCAAAGTGCTGAGATTACAAGTATGAGCCACCACGCCTGCCTCCGATTACCTTTTATACTCATTTTTTCCCCTGCTAGCCTATAAAGAATACCCGTGTTCTCGCCCATAGTAGCATTTCCCAAACCAATTACATGAATGACGAAGGATTAATCTCATTGGTGGGATGTGAATTCTTACTAATCAGAAACAGACCAAGGTGTGCTGTCTTATCATGACCTTTTCTCCTAGTCTTTGGGCCTATTTCATTTCAGAGTTCAGAGTTCAACTTCTGCTCTTAAATCTCAACACGGAGTTACTTTCTTCAAGTTCCAGGCTACAAGACACTGTTTGGAGGATACCTGTCATTTATTTGTAGGTTGAAATTCTTCTTACCCTTTCGTTCCACTTGCCTCCTACCATTCTAGATTTTCCCCCTTTGAAGTGAGATTAGTGTTTGTTCTAATAGAGGGACTGGGGGAAAGTTCTCAGAAGATCTAACAACAGCAGCAATAGATAAATTAAATTGTACTACGTGCTGTCATTCAGAAAAGCTGTTTACAGACAGAGCTATTTTGAAGCCATTAAAAAATGCTATTCATCTCAAACTTGCCATCTGTCTTCAGCTTCTGGAATCGTCTACGGCGTTAGCGAAGAGATTAGTCTCTGTGGCCAGCTTCCTTCTAGCTCTCCTGTGACACTCAGGGAGGCTCTTATGGGAAGAAGGCAATTTATTTCAGCTGCACAACCACATGGCTAACTATACACAGCAATTATACAAAGCAAATGTATCAACTTCTGCCATGGGAGGCAGGAGTTCCCTTTCTGGTCATTAATAATGAACAGTCTTCAGTAAGTAGGGAAACATTTACCAAATAAAATGGCCTATTACAGATGATCCCCTGGGCAGCTGAGAAATCGTGTGGCTGCTAAGGAAAGAGCGAAGCCAAAGAGGCTGATGTTGTCGCTCGACCTTGCTTGGTTGTCCTGGAAGCATCTCCGAACCAGCAGAAGATGTGACCCACTGGCTCTTTGTGCATAAGTGTCTAGTCCGAAAAGAAGTGGCCTGGTCTTTTCTATATTGAAATTCCATTGCTTCCTTTCCTGGCAGCTGCATAATTGGGAATGCCGTGAAATAAAAATGAGGAGGAAGAAAATTAGAGCCGGGAAGTGTCAAGTTGATCGACTGCCAAGTTGGGGGATGGAAGTGTCCGGCAAATTCAGATTCTCCCAGGACCCCCTCCCACCATGTCACCCCACCATTTAAAACACTTGTTCCTCACACTTCAGGAACTCTCTGGAGGCTCCTAGCTGATCTAATGCTTAGACTATAACTTGGTCTACAGTGATGTATTCAGAGGACTCTTTTGCAGTCGTTTTCATGAGCAAAATTCCTGAAAAGGTGCTGACATTTTAATGCCTCCTATTGATACTTTACATTTAGAGACAACAAGCTTTGCACTGCACGCAAAATCCTTGCAAATCCTAATGCTCTGTGGTCTTAGCCACCTCGCTCAAACATGGGGTGTAATTATTAATAGAACAGATGAGGGACATGTTCATTTGAATGCAATCTTCATATTGAAGACAGCTGAGCATTAATTGATGTTCAACACCCTTCAGAGGTAGGAGTGTATTACCTGGCTTCTCAGATGGATGACTTCAGGCAGTGGAATGATAAAATCCAAAGCCTCAGGGCAGAGATTGTGCCTTTGATTAATTCTGCAAAGGGCATAATGGTGCAACAGTGATGGGAAAATAAAGCCATTAATAATAGTGTGATGAAACCTGTGGCTGCTCAGCTGCTTAAGAATGTAAGCTAGCTCTGGTGTTTTGCCAAATTCTGTTAAAAATTTGGTCCACACAATCATACGTTTGTGAATTGAGAGCATGTATGCACTCCTTTCAATAAACCACAAAAGATGAGGTGATGAGAACCAACTTGACCACTATTTTGAGCTTCAAAATGCCTTAAAAACTTTGGAAATATTATTAAGTTTTAAAAAATTTAGTCATGAAACACATATTCATTGAAGGGCAATGATGTGCAAAGGACTGAACTGGGTGCTTAGTCCGTGCCCTTCTGGCTTACTATCCAACAGGAAATAAAAAGATATAGTTCATCACCATACAGGCTGATCACTGCAGATAAGGGTAGAGACAGTATGTTATGGGAGAGGGTTCACATGGGAGGCACCTCATCCAGTCTTGGAGAGTAAGACAGGCTTCCCAGAGAAATCATCAAATGATATTTTAACTGGTAGCTTCAGGACTAGTAGAAGTCAACCGGGGGAAGGAATGGGACTTGGTAAGGATACAGTGGACACAGGCTGCTATTCTAAAACTGCAGAGGAGAGAATGGATACAGAATGTTAGTAAGATCGGGCAGCTCAGTTGGTTTAAGTCAACTTGTATCTTAGTGAAAGCCACCCTGTTATCCCTCCACACCTTTAGAAATGAGATCTCCATGCAGAGATACTTCCCCTGAAAGAAGAAAGAGAGAGACAGAGAAGGAAAGAAGGAAAGAAAGAAAGAGGGAGGGAAGAAAGGAAAACAAAATTAACGATTGGCGAGGACTGCCAACCCGGTTCATAGGTAATGTGTTACCTCAAATTTGGTAAGAGAGTTTGAGGAAAAAGTTTCTGAAGGAAGATTGACTCAACATGGATTTTTATACTTATTCACTCTTTATTATTTCAACTTTCTTTTTAGTTTATTAGGTTCATGGAAAAAAATTAGTAGTCATTCAACAAAAGCAAATATTATTTTTCTTAGTTACAAACAAGCAATGTCAGACACAAGGAACTGAAGTAACGTTTTCAATCTCATTCAGGCCTATTCTGGGGAAAGGTGGCAAAGTAGACACAAAGAGATGACAATACCTGTTTCATACTGAACCTAATGAAATGAAGTGAACAATAAATTAATAAATAAAGCCAAAAATGATTTAGGAACAGTGCTATAACTTTGGAAGTATCTAGAAATGCAAGACTGTGGAAATGGATGCCTGGCTCAATATAAAATTCCTCTAGAAAGAGTTCTGTGGATATGATACATAGACAGAAATCCAGAAAAATCTCCTTAATCTTGCAATTCCCACCTAACTTCCATTCTGGGAGTGAGATATGCTACCCAGTTGTGAAAATAATACATGTCTTTTCTGATTAGAAGTTCTTCCTTGATACCTTGGATAAATAGTATTCAACAGTGAAGGAAGAAACCACTAGGCTTACCATTCTATTTTTCTCTCACTGGAAGGAAGGCAAGAGGCCTAGTATTAAAAAAATCACCAGGAGTTAAATTTTTCCACTAGCAAATAGGGCTTTAACAGAACAGAAGCATAAAGTAGCTGAGGATAGTGGTGGTTCAAGGGAAGACGGAAAATGTATAGGAAGCCCCAGTGTACAATAAGGGCACCTCATGTCTCAAATAGTTACTTTTCTTTTATTTTATTACATTCAAGCAGAGACTGGAGTGGCATTAACTGCTAGGGGAGGCATGTGAGCTAGGATGCTTTTTAAAAGTGAGGGCAGGTTGTCCCCAAAAGAAGCAATGGCTTGGTGGCCCAGCTTGCATGAAGGACTAATCCAAAATTTGAGGGCGTCTCTCAGGGAACACGATACATTTCATCTTTTAACAGAATTCCAGAGAAGAGAGCTCAATCAGAGATCAAATTCACCAACTGCAATTAAGCACTATCTTAGATTTACTCCTTCCCCTTGCCACAGCAAGAGAAAAGCAGAACATAAAACTAAAACTATTAGAACACCAACAGAGGTAAAGGTTGGGAAAGAAGTCAGGAGAAACTGATCTATATAATTCTGGGGCAAGTAAAAGTTCTGGATAAAGTTGTTCCCACCAAATAAAAATAAAACAAAAGAAATAACAACACAATTATGTAATGATATGATGACAAACATAGGAAGAAATTAGCTTAGGGAAGACGAAGGGAAGGAAAGGGAGGGCGAAGAAACCATTCTTGAGGAAAACAGAGGAAACACGAATACTTTCTGCTATAAATGTTTTACACTCTCAAAGTACTGAAAGAGGATATAAAATCTATAAGACAGGAGATCCAAGATCATCTTGGTTTAAAGTGAAATATTCTAACAGTTACATAGTATTCTACCTTCCCACCTGTGCATATTTATATATTTCTTTTTTTAAATTTTTTAAATTTTTTTAATCAACTAAAACTTATTTAAGCATAAAGTTACTTTCACATTTGTCTACAACCACAGTAAATACAGTTCTTGACATAAAGACAATTTAAAGCCTCCCCACCTGCAAGATTACATATATAAAGCTCCCACCATTCTTTATATAATAGTGGATTAATCAAATTAAAAGTTATACTATCTAGAATAAAATAAAATGAAATAATTTACTCATAAGATTCATATTTAAATCATCCTCATTTACAAAATACTATCCTGGGAATTATAGTTCCATTAAGTTTCAATCTGAACAAAAGTGTAATCACTTAAGTAACAGCAGTTACTTAAACTGAAAATGAGATCAGTCAAAATTACTTTTGAAGAGGGCAAACATGTTGTTAGGTTTCTTGCTGTCGTTCTGGATGTTCAGCAGCAGGCTCATTTGAAGTCGGACTCAACCCTGATGGAAACTCATTCTACCTTCAGAATGTGGGGGCTGGGGGGAAAAATGCAGGTCTTGGGGGACGGTAAGGAAGAAAACCTCTCGGTAAATAGACATTTCTCATTGCAAATGGAGCACGTGGTGGACCTGGGACATCCCTTGGAGAAAAATAATCTGGAGAAGCTCCAAACACGGTTCCTGGAGGAGGTGGGGGGAAAGGAGGTCCTCTTCTTATGAACGGGCCCCTTGTATCTACTGGAAACAATAAACCTCTGATTGGAGCAAGAGGTGGAGGAACAAAGCCAGGGCCAGTTGCTTCATTTTCAGCGGGGAGAGATGAATCAGGCACCTTTAAATTACCAAGATTATCTTTGGTATCATTTCTACTGGATTCCATTTCTGAAGGCATTGACCCATCCATTTTATCCAAAGAAGGCATATTAAAACTTCTGAGTTCTGCTGGTCCAGAGAGTCTAGCACAATTAGAATAAAATCTGTCTTGCCTTTGTGGAGGGAGAGCTGAATCAGGATATGATTGTCCTGGTGGAGGAAACATCATCCTATAGTCCTGTTCCCACGGAGGTGCCAGGGGCCCAGCGTCAGAAGGAGCCCTGTGAGGATCAGTTAACCTATCACAGCTTGATTCTCCTCTTTCTTTGGTAATCTGATGGTCCGGAGGATTCCCTGGGCCTCTGGAGCCTCTTCCTCCTCCCCGTGGAAGCAAAGGTGAGAGTCTGAGAGGACCTTCCAACAAAGTTGGAGGATAGAGAGAAGCTCTCGTTTCAGATGAAGGCCAACCCAATGGTGAGGGACCATATGGGGAATGCTGTCTGCCAAATGCTGTATTTGGAACATCAAGTCCATAAGGATCTTTTTCTAAAAGTTTTATTTTAAACTCTATTTCAGTTAATTTTTGTCTGTTGTGAGCATTTTCTTTCCTTAAATCATTGAGGTTTCTTTCAGCAGTCCAAGCTGCCGACCAATTATCATGTGCTTTTTTCTCATGGAGAATAATCTTCTTTTGATAAAAATGAATAGTTTTCTCAAATTCTTTAAGATCTTTGGCTCGCTTTCGGTAGGTCTCCAGCTCTTCAGTGGCATGGCTGATCATTTCGTCTACTTTAGAAAGTTTCTCTTCTTTCTCTAACCGGCATTTTTCCTCTACTATTAATTTCCTGTAGAGTTTCATTTCATTTTCTTGATATAATTCAGTCATTACTTTAAGTTTCTGCTGAAGCTTCTGATTCTCACTTTCAAAATGTGTGTTTTCTGACTGCAAAGATGCTTGTTCAGTCTGAAGATTTTTAATATGCTCTGTAAGCTCTTCCTTTGTTTTATCAACTTCAGATAATTGAATATAAATTTGGTTTCTTTCTCCTTCTAAGGTTTTTAAGGAAGCATTTAACTTAGCAGCATGAATCAGTTTCTTCAAAGCTCCTTTTGGAGGATTATCTAAGTAAGCACCATCTTCCGATTCACTGTTCATTTCTAATTCCAAGTTATCATCATCCGTTACATCTTCTTCAAGCATAGCAACCCCATCTTTCATCTTTAGCAAGCGTTCAGTCAGAGTCTTGATGTGATTTTCTTTATCATTTAGAACTTGTTCTGCATGTACTTTGGAGTCTTCAAATGTTCTTTTCTGTTTAATAAGTTCACTCACTTGTTCTTTCCATACTTCAGCTTCTTGCAAAAGCTGTTTCTGGCTTTCCTGAAGTTCAGAATTTTCTTTCCAAGCATCTTGTATTTCTATCTCCAACCGTTCTTCATTCGCTTGAAATCTCTTGAAGGTCATTTTGGCTTCAGCTACTTGTGATTTGAGGGATTTTGACTCATCTTCTAGCGACTGTATCCTTTTGGAAATATCCGCCATCAATTCATTTTGTTCAGAATGTTTAGATTTCTCTTCTTTTAACTCTTTTTCTAGACAGAGTATTTCATGCACAAGTTCAGAATTGAACCTGTTCAGCTTTTCGCAGGTTGCCTCCAAACTTTGTGCTTCTGTTGCCTCCTTCTCAAAGCTGGCATTCTTTAAAGATGACTCTACTTCATAGCCTTCATACTCTTTTTGAACAAGGCTAAATTTTTCAAGTAGTTTACATTTTTCTTCAATTAGTCCAGAAAGTGCCACAGCAAACTTTTTCTCTCTTCTCACATAAAGCCGACTCGTAACTGATCTAAAACTTCTCCACAAGAAGAGAACAGCAAAAAATCCAGCAACAGCTGCACGTATCACCAATTCCCATGGAAAACCATAAGGATGAGAATCGGGTCTCATACCTTCAGTCAGTGCTGCCACAACCCTGCGTAGCAACTCCAGGACCAGCCCCAGGTATGGCTGAGGGTTAGCCCTAGGCTCCTCCGTAGCGCCAAGGCTGCTCTGGCGGTTGCTGCAGTAACCTCGGCCACAACAAACGCTGGAGAAGACGCAGCATTCCGTTTGGAACCTGAATCCCTAACGGGCAACCGGAGCGTACCACTGCGGAGCCGGCTGCGGGGGGAGTTAGGGGACGCGGGCACCCGTAGGCCTCACAGACCCACACTGCCCACCCCGGTACCTTTGTTACACTTTACATCCTGAGGAAGCGCTAAAACCTATATTTTAAAACAGTACCACATGGTGAGAAAGACTCAGGTGACCCAGCATCCCAGCTATGCCCATCCCAAGCTGACACCCTAGCTAAATGTAGCCTTGTGCATGACCCCAGGTGGGGCGGGCAGAAGAACCTCCCAGCTGACAGAATGATAAGGAATAACAAATCATTGTTTTAAGTCACTAAGCTTTGGGGTCATTTGTTATGCAGCAGTAGCTAACTGAAATACCTGCCCCCTTATCCCTTTGGTGTTTCAGTATCTGTGGCTGAAATAATGAATTTGGGTGCTTGACTAAGATTATGCCCTATGGTAAATTCTGATAGGTAATTTTATAGCTAAAATACAAATTTTCTGATTGACCTTTGCTTCATTGAAGAGATATTTATTTAGCTCCTCCCAAATGAGACAGATTATGCTTTTTAGATTAACTTCTTCCAGGAAAGGGCTCACCACTCCCTAGCATGAGCCTCAGCTGTCCCATGTACAACTGAAAAACGCTAATCTCATCCCCAGAAGATCCAGGACTCTTAGAACAGTGCTGGCACATAGAGAGTGATTCTCTTACCTGTCCATCAAACTTACCTGCTCTGTGTCCATTTCTGAAACACTGGCACTCCTTCAACACGGATGACGCCTTGCCCTGCAATAAGTCATCATCTCCCGCCCATGCACATATCTTCAACTCATCTGGAAAGCTTGCTCCTGCAGCAATGGGTATGCCCACTAGGTTATAAATCAGCGCCAGGACCAGTTTGATGCATATCCTCTGGACAGTCATCTTGGAAATATGAATGCTAGCCACCACATCCAGCAAATCATTTTTGATGAGGATGACGTTGGCTGCCTCGATGACCACATCCGTGCCAGTGCCAGTGGCAATGCCCAAGTCTGCCTGGGCCAAGGCCAGGGAATCATTGACCCCGTCCCCCACCATGGCGACTTTCTTCCCTTCATTCAGGAGCTCCTGAACCTTGGTCACCTTGTGTGAAGGCAACACCTCTGCAAAGACTTTGTTGATGCCAACCTGGGTGGCAAAGGCTCTGACTGTCTTCCAGTTGTCCCCCGTGATCAGAATCACGTTCACATGCATGCTTTGCAGCATGTGCACAGCCAGGGCAACCTCCTGCTTGACAGTGTCTGTGACAGCCATCATTCCACAGAGCACACCTCAACAACTTGCACAAGCACCAGCTCCCTTTGCCATCTTCCGCCCGCATATTTGTATAGTTCTTATATTTTCATTATTAAAAGACAACAAGCTGACTGCATTAGAATTTAAAGGCCTCTGGGTGACAAAACCGTTATAAGCAAAATAAGTAACAGATTTGGAAAATATATGCAACATATAAATTGACAAAGGAATAATATTCAGAATATATAAAGAACTAGGCTGGGTGCGGTGGCTCATGTCTATAATCCCAGCACCTTGGGAGGCCAAGGCAAGAGGATCACTTGAAGTCAGGAGTTCAAGGCCAGCCTGACCAACATGGTGAATCCCCGACTCTACTAAAATTACAAAAATGAGCCAGGTGTGGTGGTGGACGCTTGTAATCCCAGCTACCCAAGAGGTTGAGGTAGGAGAATCTCTTGAACCTGGGAGGTGGAGGTTGCAGTCAGCTGAGATTGCACCACTGCACTCCAGCCTGGGCAACAGAGCAAGACTTTGTCTCAAAAGAAAAAACAAAAGAACTACAAATCATTAATAAAAATATAGTTAATTGAGTAGAAACAGTAGACAAAAGTATGTACGAAGAGACAGGCAATTCTAGAGGAGGGAAATAAAATGTCCAGTGAACAGATAAAATGATACTCAACTTCACTAATTAAAAAAAAGCAAATTAGAACAATAGGGTATGCATTCTACTTCTGGAAAGATGAAGTAGAAGTATTTCCCCCCATTTCTCCTGCTAAGTACAGCTAAAAACCCTGGACAGTAGATATAAAACAACATGAGAAGACTGAACAGTGGAGAGAAGAAGGTAGACCAGCTAGAGATCTCAAAACCCAAGAAACAATATGGTGGTGAGTTCCGTGGGTTTTATTTTTGTCCCAAAGACGAGATGCTAAAGAAGTGGGCAACCAGTAAATGCCATAGACACAGAGCAGGGAAAGCCTGTCTCTCTGGTCAAAAGCCCATAAGAGGGGCAGGCTAGCAAGACAGAAAACTCTTAGGCATGAACTGATCTTTCCCAGCAGACACCACAGAAAAAAACTGTGGCCCACTCCATCTCTACCAGCAAAGTGCAAGAGGGTAACTTAAACTTCCACTCTGGACAAGCTCTACTGAGCACCCCTTGCTTCCCCACAACCCTTCCCCCGTGATATGATTGTTTGTGTCCCCATTCAAATATCATCTTGCACTGTAGTCCCCAATGGAGGGATCCAGTGGGAGGTGACTGGATCATGGGGGCAGTTACTCCCATGCTGTTTTTGTGAAAGTGAGTTCTCATGAGATCTGATGGTTTTATAAGGGGCTTTTGCCCTTTGCTCAGCACTTCTCCTTCCTGCTGCCATGTGAAGAGGGATGTGTTTGCTTTCTCTTCCACCATGATTGTAAGTTTCCTGAGGCCTCTCCATCAATGCTGAACTGTGAGTCAATTAATCCTCTTTCCTTTATAAATTACCCAGTCTCAGGTATGTTTATTAGCAGTGTCAGAACAGACTAATACACCTTGTTGAGGTGATGTCAGAGAAGGCCAAGGGAGGAGTCTGGTCTGGACTTTGTCCCCTCCTGGTGGTAATGAACCACTTTCATGTCCTTCATCAGGACCACTTGGGGAGCCTGAACTCTCACCCGCTATGTAAGGACTCATATCTAGAATACACAGATTTATAAAGGACATTCAAATATCAACTGTAAAAGAAACACGAACAATCCAATTATAAAATGAGCAAAAGATATGAAAAGACACTTTACAAAGTAGACATACAGATGGCAAATAAGCTCATGAAAAGTTGTTCAGCATCACTGGCATTTAGGGAAATGTGAATTAAGACCAGCAAACAATACCACCACACACTAATTAGAACAGCTAAAATAAGACTTAGTGGCAACACCAAATGGTGGCAAAAATGTGGAGAAATTGATCTCTCACACATCACTGGAGGGAATATAAAATGATACAACCACTCTGGAAAATGGTGTGCCCGTTTCTTAAAAAACTAAACATATGCTTATGATGTGACCTAGCCCTCACTGCACCCCTGGCATTTCCCAGAGAAACAAAAACTTGTGTTCCCACAAAAACCTGCACATGGTGCTCATAGCAGCTTTATTTGTGATATCTCCAAACTGGAAACAACCAAAATGCCCTATGATAGGTGAAGGATTGGACAAACTGCAGTAATGCCTACCATGATTTATTGCTGATTTAACTCAGCAATAAAGGGGAAAAAAATATCGGTAAATGCAACACCTTAGCTGGATCTCAAGGGTATTATTCTGAGTGAAAAAAAACAGTCTCCAAAGGTCACACACTGTCTGATTGTGTTTATATAATCATATGAAAATGACACAATTATAGGGATGGAGAACAGATAAGTAGTTAGAGTTGGTGGGGACGGGCAGGTCTGCCTATCAAGGGGTAGCAAGAGGGAGATCTTTGGGGGGATGAGATAGTTCCATATCTTAATTATGGTTATGTTTCCATGGATCTGCGTGTATAGTAAAATGACATAGAACTATACATACTGTATACCAATGTCGATTTTCTGGTGTGATATTGTACTATAATTATATTAGATGTAGCCATTGAAAGAAACTGAGTAAAAGGGGCAAGGGACCTCTCTGTACTATCTTTGAACTTCCTATTAATCAATAATTATTTCAAAATAAAAAACTTCAAGCAGTATGATTCTTTATCCATCAGATTGGAGAACACTTTAAAGCTTGATTCAATTAAGTGTGAGCAAAGTTCTAGAGAACAAGGATAGTCGTTTTGAAGGGCAATTGATAGTGTTTATTACAGCTTAACACATGCACAATCTTCCAAGAGATTCTAAGAGTTCTTTCTGAAAAAAAACACCGATGTGCACTGGAGAGAGACATGCAAGACTATTCATTGTGGCATTGCTTGTAAGAGTGAAAAAATTAAAATAGCCTAAATGCCCATCAAAAGTGGAATAAACAAATTATGGTATATTCATATAATACAATATAACAATTAGAAGGAATTAATTAGATACACTTGTAGCAGCATGATGAGATTTCAAAAACATCGTGTTACATGAAAAAAGCAAGATACAGAATGACACATAAGAGATAATACTTTTAGAGGAAACACATAAAGCAATACAGTCTTCTTTAGGCACATATATATGAATTATAAAAATGTCAAGATCAAAGGTGTAAATACTTCAAACAAAAGCCTAACCATGCTCACATCTGGTCAGGAGAAGAGGGGAACATGAGATGAATACATTTATTAGTTATTACCTGGATGCTAAAAATTATTATGACCCTGCAGTTATTTTTTAAAGTTTATTTTATTTTTTGTTTGTACAGTGGTTCATCTGAAACTAGTCATTATTAATATGTTGATATTTTCCTTTTGCTTTTCTTCCTGTTCATATTTTAACGTGTGTGTGTGTGTGTGTGTGTGTATGAATGTCTGAATGCAACATTTTTAGAAACTTAAAGGTATAAAAGCTGAAAAGAGATTATAACATCTCCATTATTGAGCGCCCACTATTTGCCAGGCTAGTGTACTATGTGTATTACAGACATTACTCCTAAATCTCACTACAATCCTATAAATTGCTGTTCCCTCCATTTTACATGGGTAAACTGAAGATAAAACTAAGGATAGAAGAGGTGAAGCAACTTGCTCAAGGTCACGAATTTGGCCAGAGCAAAGAGCCTGGACCTGTGTCCAGGTGAGGGCCCTTCAGAGCTCATGCTACTGCTCCAGCTGAGTCTGGCAGCCTTCGCCCTGTGCTGATAGTTTGACAAACATTAAAGCTGGAAAACTTCCACAAAGCAAACTGCGGAAATTCCCATGATTCCTTGCCAATTAGACAGGATGACCAAGGAGGAAAACAGCCAGACTGCCTTTGCTCAGAAGGGAAAAGGGGAATGTGACAGCTAATGTTTTACTCGGGTGGCCAAAGCTGGATAAATATGTTTTCTATTTTATTTTATTTTTTCTTTTTACAAGAACAGTCCTATTGCAATAAGGCTGGATAAACATCATTCTTCTAAAATACCCATGGGTGCACAGCTTACCTCAGGAGAGAGCTGAAGGAAATGGCGGATGCTTCCTGAGAGGACCCGATAGCCAAGAGAGAATCTGGAATAGCTTCCATTGACAGGCGCCATTCAGAGATGCTTGACAAATAGTCTTGTGTTACTGTCCAAGTTCTTGGCCTAATGACAGCGGTGGTAACAGCAACGATACAGTGGATACTCACATACTGCCCATATGTGCCAAGCAGCGTTCAAAACAGTTACATCAACTCATTTAATTCTCCATAATCTGACTTAGAGATAGCATTTAAAGTGACAAAATGAAGCAATAATTCATATGTAGTGCAGCACTGTTGTCAGAAACAAGAACTCAATCTCCAGATACTGGCATAATTTTTTTTTTTTTTTTTTTGGGACAGAGTCTCACTCTGTTGCCCAGGCTGGAGTGCAGTGGTGTGATCTCGGGTTCACTGCAGCCTCCACCTCCTGGGTTCAGGCTATTCTCCTGCCTCAGCCACCGAGTAGCTGGGACTACAGGTGCCTGCCACCACACTCAGCTAATTTTTTGTATTTTTAGTAGAGATAGGGTTTCACCATGTTGGCCAGTCTGGTCTTGAACTCCTGGCCTCAAGTGATCCACCCGCCTTGGCCTCCCAAAGTGCTGAGATTACAGGCATGAGCTACCACGCCTGGCCGCCCTTATTCTTTTATTAGCACAATGACTCTGCCCAGAGCCCTACACAGCCGACAGTGATCCACAGTTCTGTGGAGGTTGGGGGAGCTGGTGGGAGAAATGATGACACTGGGTTTCGAATATGTGACTGCAATGGTGTCATCTCTGCCTGACAGGGGCTTGTGCTGAGTCCCAGTCTGTGGAGGCTGACGAGCAGCCATGATATTAATATTTACTGCCCCCCTTGACATTTGCAGGCTGGATGGCAATTCTGAATGATCTTTAACTGGGACACAGAAAAATTGCTGATCTCGAGGCAGGGGTCAGTCCTGTGGGTACATGTGGTTCTTCTACACTGAGTGGGGGAAACTCACCAATCTAATACTGCATGTCTTATCTGTCGTATTTATGATTCAACTCCACACAAGTGCTGACTATTAGCAATGTGCTCCTTGCCCTGAAGAAATAATTATGCAAAAAGAGAGGGAAGGAACAAACAAAAGTACTCTTTCCATCTCACCTGTCGTCTTGCAGAAAATAAAAATGTATTTTCTATCCTTTGGGGGTGATTTTCTGAGAAATAAAACTCTATTTCCAAATGGTAGTTGACCCATAATTAATCCCATTTATTTGGGGGGAATGTTACATGTTATGTGTTTTTCCCACTTAACAAATGAGAATCTTACTGGCGTGACCTCCCTTACACAACGGAAAGTCAGCTCCAGCAGTTCATTGACCCCAAAACCAGACCTATTCAGCTAAAGTTTCGTGCAAGGTTGAGCAACGATCTAGCTTGCATTGGTACTATACAGACAGCCAGTACAGGTCACTGGGGCCAGAACGCCATCAGGACCAGAATTCCACTGGAACCTCAAACCTTTGGCATCCCTCCAAATGCTCCAGAAGAGTGATTTGCACTCCAGAAGATCACTTACTTTGGGGTCTAGGCATATCAGAATATCTGGGAAAGGGGGAAAGTTTGAAAATGCAAGTCAATTTCATGATGCGATTTTACATATGAAAAAGGAAAGAAAATGCCTATTGATTTCACACATAAAGATAAGTAATCAAAATCTCTTTGAGGATAGCAGGACATTTTTGTTTTTTCAAAAGGGGGAGTTGCTGATTTGAGAAATATTGCTATAAAGTTTAAATTTTCAAGTCTAGATTGAACACAGTGTGTAGGAAGCATAGAGATTAGGCTTGCACGCTTTGGAGCCAGACTGTCTGGGTTCAAGTCCTGGCTCTACTGTCTGTGACATTGGCAATTTGCCTTAAACTTTCTAAACCTCCATTTCCTCACTTGTAAAGTAAAGATGTCTTAATAAGACCTCATTATAAGGTATCGTGGGAATTAAATGATATAATTTATGTTAAGTAGAAAAGTGTCAGACACATAAGAAATGTGCAATGATGGTAGCTATTATTAAACACCATCCTTTGACGTCCCACTTTTTCCTTGTTCTATTAAATCTTTCTAGGAACTTCAGGTTCTTGGCACTTCAAGTTCTTGTAAAATGTTCAGTGGTATTCAAAATGTGTTTTCTCTAGTTTTTCTTTCTTTTTTTTTTTTTTTTTTTTAAGAGGGAGGGTCTCACTATGTTGCTCAGGATGATCTTGAACTCTTGGGCTCAAGCAATCCTCTCATCTTGGCCTCCCAAGTAGCCAAAGCTGGCTCATGTCACCAAGCTGGCTTTAGTTCTAATGAAGATTTAAGATAGTAAAGTCCATCAGACAAAATTCTGGTGATATAATAATATATCTTATATTCTCTCAACTCCTCCCTATTTATAATGAACAAATGTTTGGACAAAAAAAATGTTTAGTTCACCACCATGGAGTACATACTGTTAGTTGCCTATCCAACATGCATACAATCCCTATGCCCTTCTTAAGGGAACTGCTGATCATCCTCTCATTGTTGTGTACTTCAGGGAAAACTGAACCTCAGCCTCAGGTATAGGGAATGAATCCTGGGTAGTTTAAGCCAACCATGGTAAACCCATTTCCCATGCTGACTATTAATTTAGAAACAGACACGTAACATGCTGAGAAGTCATCTGGATCTTCCACTTTCTTCACTTCTAAGAAGGATACGTTAGATGGGATGCCATTTCTTCCTTTCATCATAGTTTTGTTTGTATGTGACACCTAGAACTGCTGTTGCCATCTGGAAACCATGAGCATAGACCATGTTGTCAGGGCAAAACTGAGGGTGGCATAGTGGGAGGATGTCACAAACCTGGGCCCTTGATGACATGCGAAGCTCCCGATTGCTCCAGCATAAAGCCCATGCCCACTGCTGGACTGATTCTTGTGTGAGATCCAACTTAAATTTCCAACTATTTAAGCCAGCTTGAGTTGGGGCTTTGTATTATTTATAGCCCAAAGTGTACTAATACCCAGCATATTAAATCCACATTAAAATGTCTTAAAATAAACTGGAAAAAGTCAGGCATGTTTTTATATGGTCCCAACATCACCCTTAATTTCCCTCAATAACCTCCTCTCTTTACCTCATCTCTAAAGTCATCCTATCAGCTCTACTTCCAAAATATCTCTGAATCCAAATACTTCTTCCCATCCCTACTGCTGTCACCCAAATCCAAGCCACCATCATTCTCTCCTGTATCACAGCAATAGCCTCACAGCTAAACTACCACCCTTCATGCTTGCCTGAACTTCTACAGCCAGTTCTTTTTCTAAATTAAGACAACATTTACATAATATAAAATTTACCATTTTAATCATTTTAAGGTGTATAATTCAGTGGTTATTAGTATATTGCCAACGTTCCACAACCATCACCACTATCCACTTCCAGGACATTATCATCACCCCCGCAAAACCCCGTATCCAGTAAATGATCATTTCTCATTTTCTCCTCTCCCCAGCCTCAGACAACCACTAATACAATCTATTCTGAGCACAGCAGTTGGAGTAATATTTTTCAAAGATAAATCAGATCATGCCACTTCTCTGCTTAAAACTCTCCAATGACTTTGAATAACATTTAAATTCCTTAGCCTGACCTAGAAAACCATTCACGATTTAGTCCCTGTCTTCAGTGCTGTCTGGTACCATTCTCCCACTTGCTTGCGAGGTTCTGTCCACACAAGACCTCTGTGTGTTTCTTGGACACAACAGCTCATTCCTCCTTCAGGGCCTTTTCCATGTGTTCCCATTCCTCAGATGCAGTTTCCTGCTTGGCAGATTGGTGCCTTCCCAACATTCAAGTTGCACCACAGCTGTCCGCTCCTCAGTGAGTTTCCCTGGCCGAGACAGCCCCCCATGACACTGTTGCTCCTTAACCTCCTCCTTCTCACTTTCCTTACCTCATTGATCACTATCTGACACATTCATTTTTAAAAATTTAATGAAAGCCCATAGTTTACTCAGATTTCCTTTGCTTTTACCCAATGTCCTTTTCTCTTCCAGAATCCCACCCAGGATACTATATTACATGTACTTGTCTTGGCTCCTTAGGCCCCTCTTGGCTGTGACAGTTTCTCAGACTTTCTTTGTTTTGATGACCTTGACGTTTTTGAGGAGTGGGATGCTCCTCTATTGGAATTCGTCTGATTTTTTTTTTTCACGATTAGACTGGAGCTGTGGGTGTTTTGGAGACAGAGCACAGAGGTAAAGTGCCATTTCATTGCATCTTATCAAGGGTTCACATTCATTTTTTATTTGTTGCTTACCTGTCCCTCCCACTGTTAGAATATTAAGCTCCATGAAGGTAGGAACATTGCCTGCTCTGTTCATAGTTTTATTCACAGAACCTAGAATAGCATCCAGTACAGAGCCTCATTAATTATTAGTTGATTGAAATCATGAATAAACTAGAAAACAAATGACCAATATACTGCCTACTGTTTTTGCATGTGAAATAAAATATGGGTCAAGAGGATTCATTGAGCATAGGTCAAAGACACTAAAACCCTTTCAAATAATCTGGCATATCCGTGAGATAAATCTAAACCCTCATGCAAATAAATAATTAACCCAAGGCCAATAGCACATTCAAAATCATTAATGAAAATTGATTTTCCTTTTCTGTGGGGCTGCGTCTCCCTGCTGCAACACAATCCCATTTGCAGACTCAGCCAGGATTCATTGTGTTTCACTTCATTTCTACTCAGGGTCTTCTATTTCCTGAACCGTGCTAGCCTCTGTGAATTTTTTTTCTTTTTAAATATTTGGCTTGGTCAGCCTATGCATGAAAAGGGTATGAGTGACTTTATGTAGGTAAGCTTTGAAAGGTAGCAACCCCTCTCAGAACAAGGAGTTAACACATGAGGAGAAGCCAGGCTTGTCCAGCAGAGAATGCAGGGAGGGTGACCGAGCCCTGGGGCTGAATGAAGGGCTCTGCCAACTGACTTCATGGTGCAGGGGAGCAGGAGGAGGAGTCTGCTGGCAGCCGGTTAAATGCCTTTCCAGGAACATGGTGAAAACTGATTAAATATAGATGCAATCATATGAAATGATAGAGGGAACCTAAGGGACGTCTCCAGCCATTAAAACACCAAACACCAATGGGAGCTCCCTAGTGGTCACGGAGGAAGTTCGTTTTCTGACATGAGCTCCCAGAGAATGAAGTCCCTGAAAGGAAGAACTATTTGTATTCCACTCAGATTTCATGTAACCTTTTCTTTTGGAAGCTTCAGTAAGCAAAGGCACATTTGTCAAGGCTTCGGGATGAATGTGGAAAGCTTTTGAGCACTGAACTTGGAGATACTCAGAAGGGCTTACTGGAAAGGCTGCCCTGGGCTGGGAGCAGTCAGACATCCACTCCAGCTGGCCAGGCAGTGTGGGCCTCAGCTATGATTACCTCCAATGAGCCAATTTCCTGACTGTGTGTAACCTCCCAATCAATTTATTTGAACGTGAGTTTCCCTAGGTAATGAGCTGCATCGTGTATCATTGGTCAGAGTATTTACTTTTCCTAGCATGCATCAGAGTAAGTGACTTACAGGTCAAATACCATAAGGTTACGTAAGAAGTTTAACTAGCATTTCTTATTTCATTCACCAATACTATCATGAGACATTTTGTGTTTCCTTGGGTCTATGGTGCCATTAATGGTAGCACTATGGACTGAATGCATAGCATTTTGGGGACAAAGAAAACAACCACAACAAGACATGTTCCAATTTCAGAAAAGGAATGTGTGGAAAATTTTACAAGATGGAGCTGAGGAAATTCGGGATGTCAAACACCAAGTGAGTGCTTGTAGACACTGAGAATTCCCTGGTAACTTTGTGGTGCAGAGCCCATTCATCTCACCAGTCCCCACAATGCTTCATGGACGCTGGCATCAGTGTTTCGAGTTCCAGCTTTCCCAGGACTCCTCCACATGAGCTGGTTTGAGGAAGCCTGAAAGACCCCTGGGCTTCACCCTGCCTCTGGGCCCTCTGCTTGCTCAGGCTGGGCAGTAGCGGTGGTCCACTACCCCCTCCACCCTTCCTGGACAGGGTCTCCAGAGGGCACATGAATTCCATCCTTCTGCCCTGCTGGCCAAACCTTTCTGTTTCCCATCTGTTAGGGTTCCCATGTGGGCTGACATCAGTTCCCACCCCCAGTGAATTCTCAAAGGTCCCCTCTGTCTGTTCAGTCCTCAATTCCCACCGTTCTTTATATTCAATCTTGTACTGTCTTCTTACTACACTTAAGTTTTGACTTGAGATATGCATTCTTCCTCTGTTACCACCAAAGAAGAACTGGGTTTTCCTGTGTTTGGTTCTGCATTCTAAAACACCACTAATACCACCTCATCAACAGCTAGCACCTAGTGAGCACTTCCTGTATGCCAGGCTGTGCAACATGCACACACAATGCCATGTTTGTGTAATCTCATAATCCGCCACGACTACCTCTGAGGCAGGTACAATTATTATCCTCTCTTACAAGTGAAGCAGATGAAGCCCAGTGCTTGGGTCAACAGCCCTCATTGACCAAGCTACAAAAGGAAGAGTCAAGACTCCACAAGGCCTGCATGGCCTCACCACACAAGCTCACAGCCAGTGTTTGTGAGGCCTCTCCTTTGGCAAGAGGTGCAGAGCTGCTGTACAAGTAGCCACTGTGAGTGAGGGGCCTCCTTGGTGGGATGGAGGGGTGAAGGGGAGGGAGAAAATGAGGATGAATACCAGGTTCCTGGCTTGGATCACTGGGTAGACAGTGGTACCCCTCACCCATGTTAGCAACTCAGGAGAAGAAGCTGTGGAGGCTTTGGCAGCAGCCTTCTGCACTTTGTGTCCTGTCATCTTGCAGAACATCAAAGGCCAATGTACACATGGGTCCAACACTCCAGACAATATTTTCCTGACCCCCTTGACTCCAGTGACCTTTACTTGGATTCCATTTCAACCAGCCACCCTCTTGGCTATGCTTGTTCCATGCATTCCCCAAAACTCCCCCATATGAGAATTCCCATGTTCAAATGACCACTTTCTGTCTGCACTGGGTCTGTTGGACTCTTGCTCCAGTTATTTGCACCACGTGTTTTCCTGCCTCCGTAAGACTCCCAAGCCTTCAGCCTGTCTTCCCAGCTACCAACGTATAAACTCTATCCTGTCCTTGCTCTTTTCCAAGCCTGGCTGCCCCCATGAATTATGTCCCATGCTTACCTCTGCAGCCCCCTCTCCTGCCACAGCCTGGTCTCTCTTTGCTCCTTGTTCCAGGCAAAACCATGACCAGATATTTCCCTGATTCTAAGATCCCATTTGTTGAAGAGACAATAATGTTTAATAACAGATTTCTAGAAGAAAGACAACACTACCACATGAAATGTATGCAGTCATTGGGAGAAATCTTTGTATTTAAGAAATGATCAAAGTGCAAACAGATCTGTTTTAGGATGGTGAGATTTCAGTTCTTCAGTCTCTCTCATCCCCAGGTCATGGGCACACAGTTTCTGGCTGGAATGGAAATACTATCTCATTTAACTTTTAAACAATGCTGCAAACTAGGTATTCGCATCACCATTTTATAAAATGGAAACAGTTTTAGAAACATAAAGTTATTTTCTCTAAGAAGGTTACACAGGTAATAAGGGAGAAAAATTATATTAGTCTGTTTAGGCAACCATAACAAAATACCATGGCCTGGGTGGCTTATGCAACACACATTTGTTTTCTCATGGTTCTGGGGGCTGGAAGTTTGAGATCTGGATGTCGGCAGGGTTGGGTGCTGGGGAGGGCTCTCTCCCAGGCTTGCAGAGGGCCACCTTCTTGCTGCGTCCTCACATGACCCTTCCTCAGTGGGTGCTTCCTCTCCTTATAAAGTCACAAATCCCATCATGCAGGACCCAACCTCAAGACCTAATGTAACTCTCATTACCTCCCAAAGGTCCATCTCCAAGGTCTCATTACCTCCCAAGGTCTCATCCCATTGGGGGTTAGAGCTTCAACATATGAGTGATGAGGGAGGGACACAAACGTTCAGTACATAACAATAATCATGTCTTAAACATAGGCCTTCTCATTTCAATTTCTAATTTCCTTTTATCCTGCTACACTGTAGCTGGATTCATTAATTCCTACTTGCCTTCTAAAACCCAGTCAGGGTGCCCACCGTGAAAAGCCCTTCCAGACCCTGTTTTCCAAGGCGGGGCTGGGCTCAGGGCTCTCCTCTGGGCTTCCCTCGGATCCTGTGCATTCTTTTAGTCCTTCCCACTGTGTTTGAGAATCACAGATAGGTCAAGGCCTTAGTAACTTTGTGTCTGTAGAACCAACAAGACTTGTTCCATCGTGGCCCTTCCAACAATATTTGTTCCGTTTCCCTGGAGCAATTTGACAGCCCATCGGGCATTGGGAACGGTTTTATCTGTTTTAGGACCATTAGAACTTCAAGAATCGCACAAATGCTACTGGTTTTTTTTCAGACCTTCAGAAACTCCCAAGCCAATGCTTTCAGGAAGTCTTAAATATTCATCTTAGAAAACTCTAATTAGTATTGCAAATTAAATGTATCCTTTTCTGGTCTGGCTATTATACAAATGGAGGTGTTTTTTCAGTTGTTGTTTTAAGACAAGGTCTCACTTTGTCATCCAGGCTGGATTACAGTGGCGTGATCATGCCTCATTGCAGCCTCGACTGCCTGGGCTCAAGTGATCCTCCCACCTCAGCCTCTGGAGTAGCTGGGACCACAGGCATGCACCACCACACCCCAAATGGAGGACTTTTTTTTTTTTTTTTTTGATGGAGCCTTGCTCTGTCTCCCAGGCTGGAGTGCAGTGGTACGATCTCAGGTCACTGCAACCTCTGCTTCCTGGGTTCAAACAATTCTGCTTCCTCAACCCCCTGAGTAGCTGGGATTACAGTCATGCACCACCACACCCAGCTAATTTTTGCATTTTTAGTAGAGACGGGGGTTTTGCCATGTTGGGCAGGCTGGTCTCAAACTCCTGAACTCAGGTGTTCTGCTTGCCACAGCCTCCCAAAGTGCTAGGATTACAGGCATGGGCCACCATGCCTGGCCCCAAATGGAGGTTTTTCACACCAGACCTGAAAATCCATTCGTTGGGGAGGATAGGAACGTCTAAGTTGTTTGATGTTTGGCCCAGACTTTTAGAAAATCCCACAAGTAAATTTTACTGGTAGGAACAGTGGGAATCAAACTCATCTCTTTGAAAGGCTTGATGATAGCAAAGTCTCCCGAGACACAAGTAGTGATACGGGAGATGGAGCAAAATAACTTGCTCCATATCTTCCTTCCTTAAAAGAATTGGCCAAGGAACGGCTTGGATGACTCATTGATCTCTGCCTGTGACCCGTGCCAGAGCCTTGCCTGCCGGGTTCTCTGAGTTTCTGGTGAAGCATTCAGACTCCATGCAGGAAGTGAGGTCATGATTGTTTTGGCAGTTTGGGTGGCGTTTATCCTTTGGTAGCGGCTGAAGTTTATCAGTAGGTTTAGCCTTTGCACTTTGAGAAACCAACTATTATCTCACTCACAATTTAGAATAATAAAAAGTCCATGGCAGAAAAACGTGCAGTAAGTACAGATAAAGAACAAACGAGGGAGAACCTGGTGTTCCTGTCCACATCAGCCCCCCAGGGCACACAATCTATCCATGCTCTGATAGAGTCCGTGAGAAGGCGCCACCGGCGTTCTCGCTTTTTCTTTCTGGTAGCAGCTGCAAGTCAAGACATTTCTTGGAGAGCGGTTGGGAGTAGAGAAAACACGTTACATCTTTAGTTAATAATTTGGATTCAGTTATATCCTGAAGTGACCTGCAAGGGGGACACTTAGGTTTAGGAAGACCTCTTAAAGGTTTGTCTCCTCCCTGGGAGCTGTAATCAGAGCAGTTAAAAGATGGGCTAAGCCTCCGCAGTTTGTTGTCAGAAGTGGCTAAGAAGAATCTGGTAACTGCTGTCAGGGACCCCTCCTGGAGGCTTCCTGTACCCCGTGGGACGCCGACCAGATTTCCAATGTGGTTCTAAGTCTGAGATGCTACAAGCTTATGCATTTACAATTACATAGAGAAACAGGGTTCTCCTTTAACACTTTGCTCATGAGGGGCATCCCAAAGACTAAAAAGTACGGAACTGCAAAAACAAACGAACAAACAACTTTGCAAATCTTGCTTTAAATATCCAAAGCAAGAGAAAAGTAACACATCACCATTAAAATGATCTTAGATTGGTAAACTATCTGAGCTGCTATACTATTATTAATGGGAAAAAAAAAAACACCTGGATGAAGATGTTAAATAATTCCATAAGTCACTATCATTCATCAAGCAAGTAAGAGACTTTTTATGCAACTACAAACTCTGGCTTGACTTCTTCAAATTTTGTTTTATGTTTTATTTTTTATATCTGGAATATATTGTGAGACTTAGAACAGATGGCTATAATCCCAAAGCATATATATGCATTATAGTTTTTAGGAGCTAAAAACTATAATTAAAAATGATTGTATGCACACACAGTGCTGAAAGATTTTTAAAACAGAAAAGCTTCATATAAAATGTGGACTTTCTCAGCCATCCTGTTACTTGATGCTCTGTAGACATGCTCTGGGTGAGAGGATCATACCTCACAGTGGGATCGGGACACCCCAAAGGGAGATTGTCTTGTAGTTGGATCAGTTCGGCCTAGTCCACACTTGGAACTCTCCCCTGCTGGTTTCAGTTACGGTAGACTGGAATTGGCACATTACCCAGAGGCGGAAGGGAAGTTACAGTGTCTGTGGATATGTATAGTGGTGCCTCACACACTAGATTTCATGTCAGACAAAGCAAGTTGAAATCTGCAATCTGCTTTTTATTAGCTTTGTGACCTTGGGCAAGTTAATCTCTTTAATCCCCGGTAACACTGTGGGGTTATTTTGAGGTTTAAATGAACCCACGACGGCCACTTCACTAACTCCCTAATTTTCTTATTACTCATCAGGTCCCCATGTTCTCTCATCCTTCCTTTCATGGCTTAATTAATTCATGGCTTAATTAATGGTTGGCTCCATCTTCACAAGCACCCTCAAAGCTCTCTTGTTTCTCTCCCTCCATTGTACTTGCCTGGAAACCCCCAGCCTAAGATGGATCCACCAAGCTACTCTTCTGGGAGAGAAATCATTCATACCAACAGGATCACAAAACACACTTTTCCACCTGCATCTGCCTTGTGCTCACAGTGCCGTTTGACCCAGTCGGCCACCATCTTCTTGGCTTCTTAACACCACCACCACTTCTTAACACTTCTTGGCTTCTTAACACCACTCTGAGATATACTTTCAAGTTCTTTGCTTTATTGTTTAAATTAAAAATAGAGGGGTTTTTTTTCTTGTTCAAAGGGTTGCAATAATAATTTTTCTAGAAGCCGGACACGATGATTTTACTGAAGAGACTCCAACCCTGCCTCTAATCAGAGGACCTAAATAATCACTGCAAATCCTGAAGCCCTAGAGCTGTGTTCCCTGAACACCTAAAGACAGAGGAGGTGAGGCCAGCAGTCTCCTTAACTCTCTGGGTCAGCCTCAGAGATGGCCATCAGCTGATTCCTCTTTTTTATTCCTTAAGGGTTGAGAGTTGAAGAGAGAAGTCAATTGATGCCACCACTGAGTTTTAGGACTTCAAAAAGAAATGTATAAATAGCTGTTTGGTTTTCTTGCCATTTCCACCAAGGTCTAAGTGGGTGGGGGTGAGGCGGGGTGTTGATGGACAGGGAGCAGCCATGATTCATTGGCCTCTCCGTTTTGGGAGGGAAGCTCACTGGGCTATTGCTGGTGACTGCACTTTCACAAATGCTCCTCCGGTGCACTTTCCCTCTGTAAATGGCTGCCTTCACTTGGAGAGTTACCTTTTTTCAGTGTCTTTCACAGCTTTCGTAACTTCTAGCTCTAGGAAAGGGTATGAGAGAGTTCATGTCTTTGTCAGTTATCCTGGAGGAAAGCAAACCAGTCCTCAAAAATGAGTTACTCATCATGTGAATTCATTGGTTAAATAAAGGCTGAATAGTGGGAAGAGTTACTCATATACCGTAACAGACACTCACAGCCATCTGGCTGTCTGGCCTCCTCTTCATGCCCACATTACTCCTTACTCTAAATGAGGTTAATGGGAATTAATATATATGTATTAGGAAAAGGAGACATCCTTGGGGACCTGAGCTCCAGCTCATCAGTACAGTGCTCCTCTCTAGGTAGACAACAGGGTACTTGGGGAAACACTGAGTAATGGTTGAAAGATAAATTACATATAGGCTAGTCAATATCTTGCCAATTAAGCTTACTGTATTCCTGAATAGAACATTTCTGAGAAAAAGACTGGCATCTAAGCAGTTCAAATAGTTGCATTTTATTGTCCTATTTCATGGGGCAATTTCTTTCCACATTGACTTTCATACACATAGACAGTGGAAACAGCTTTTTAAATTTACAAATAAAATACTTCAAAATTGTATCTGTAGGACTGGCAGTCATTGAGAAGAAAAATCAGCCATCCCACAAGACAATGCTTGATAACAAGAGTCCCTAAAATGTGTGATGTGCTTGGTGAAATATTTCTATCCTACTCATTAGCGTATTTGAGCAGACTTTCTTGCATGCTGTCTCTCTCCTTCCTATCAATGCTATCTCTAGTCCATGCTATTAATTATTTACATAATGCCCATATTGTGAAATACATAGCATGCATTATGAACATCAGACAGTGCTTTTCTGTGGCTTGTATCACGGTATTCTATCAACCCACTACATAAACAACCTCTCTCATATGTAGACTGCATGATGGTCCTGATGAATTGATCTTGTTCAGATCCTGTGTACATATTACAGCAGTGTTTTATCACTACATAGATATACACACACACTCAATAGTCACTGGTGTTAAAATAAATATTGTGACTTTGCCTAGAGAATGGCCTCACTGAGTAACTGGCGGCATCAGATGGTCTTTATCAGTCATGCAGATAGGAGCGTGCCTGCTCGTAGCTTGGTTGTCTTGTTGTTTGGGGTGATTCTCCTTTTCATCTATCCCAGGGAAGGGTTCTGTTCTTCATCATAGCAAGCCCATGGGATGGTCTAATTCTCTGTGCACAGGAGAAATCTAAAAGCACCCTGTTGAATCAGTCAGTCCAGTTTCACTAAACGTTTTACTCAATTCAGTAGCATTTATTAACCACTTAGCAGTGTATTCTGAGCACTGTGGGAAATATAAAAGAATAATAATCCTTTAAAGAATGTAAGCTTGAATGGCTTAAGATCAAAATTGTTCTTTTTTAGCAGCTTTAAAGGGTTATAATCCACATATCATACAATTCACACATTTAAAGTGTACAATTCAATGGTGTTTAGTGTATTCAGAGTTGTACAACCATTATCAAAATCAAGCTTAGAATATTTCATTACCCATAAGAGAAATCTTGCAATTAGCAATCATTCTCCATCTTCCCCTCCTCAAACTTCCCAAACCCAGGCAACCATGAATCTACTTTCTGTCCTACGGATTTGCATAATCTGGACATTGCCTGTAAATGAGATTATACAATATGTGGTCAGTTGTGACTGGCTTCTTTCACTGGACATAAGGTTTTGTTCATTGATGATGTAGCATGTATCAGTATTTCATTCTGTGTTATTGCTGAACAACATTTCATTGCATAGATATACAACAAATTATCCATTCATCAGTTGATTGCCATTTTGGTTGTGTGCTGTTATGAACAATGTACATAAAACTTATGTTTTTATGTACATGTGTGTTTTCATTTTTCTTACATGTGTATTTAGGAGTAGAATTGCTGGGTTACATGGTAATTATATGTTTAACACTTTGAGGAACTGCCAGACTGTTTTCCAAAGTGGCTGCACTATTTTCATTATCATTAGCCATATACAAGGGCTCTAATTTCTCTACATCCTTGTCAACATTTGCTATTATTTATATTTTTATTTAATTATAGCCATTTCTGTGGATATGAAGTGTTATTTCATTGTGGTTTTGATTTGCATTTCTCTTATGACTAAGAATGTTGAGTGTCTTTTCACGTATTTAATGGCCATTTGTATATCACCTTTGAAGGGATGTCTGCTCAGATTCATTGCCCATTTTTCAACTGGGTTATTTTTTCTTTTTATTATTGAGTTGTAGGTGTTCTTTATATATTCTAAATACAAGCCCTTTTTCAGATATACGATTTGCAAATATTTTCTCTCATTGTGCGGGTTATCTTTTCACTTTCTTGATGATCTTCTTTGAAACAATAAAGTTTTAAATTTTTATGAAACTTAATTTGCCTTTTTTTGTCACTTGTGGTTTTAGTGTCTTAATTAAGAAGGTTTTGCCTAACCTCAAGTCATGAAGGTTCACTCCTATATCAAAGTCATCTATTCTTTGTTGATCTTCTTTCTAGTTTTTCTATCTATTTCTGAAAGTGGGGTGTATAAGTCTCCAATTATTACTTGTGAATTATCTATTTTTCCTTCTATCCATTCTGTCTATATTTGCTTTGTATATCTGGGGGCTCTGTTGTTAGGTGCACGTATGTTTAAAATTGTCACATCTTCCTGATGAATTGACCCTTTAAGTGTTGTAAAATGTTCTTATTTGTCCCTAGTGAAAATTTTTGTTTTAAAGTCTGTCTTCTCCAATATCAGCATAGCCACTCTAGCTTCTTATGGTTACTGATTGTATGATATATTATGATATATCTTTTTCATCCTTTTACTTTGCATCCTAAATATACACAAGACTTCCACAAAACAATCAGAAAATGACCAACAACCAATATGCATTAGTTAAGAGCAATTCTACTCCTAAGTATATACCCAACAGAGATATGTGCATATATTTAAAGAAACAACATGTACTAGAATGTTCATAAAAACAGCATTTGGTTTTTTTTTGTTGTTGTTGTTGTTTTGTTTTTTTTTTTTTGAGACGGAGTCTCGCTCTGTCGCCCAGGCTGGAGTGCAGTGGCGCGATCTCGGCTCACTGCAAGCTCCGCCTCCAGGGTTCACGCCATTCTGCTGCCTCAGCCTCCCGAGTAGCTGGGACTACAGGCGCCCGCCACCACGCCCGGCTAATTTTTTGTATTTTTAGTAGAGGCGGGGTTTCACTGTGTTAGCCAGGATGGTCTCGATCTCCTGACCTCATGATCCGCCCGCCTCTGCCTCCCAAAGTGCTGGGATTACAGGCGTGAGCCACCGCGCCCGGCCAAAAACAGCATTTGTAATAGCCTCAAACTGAAAACAACCCAAATGCCATCAGTAGCAGAATTAAGAAGTAATTTTTGGTATATTCACACAACAGAATATTATATTTTGAACAGAATGAGTTATATACAGTCACACACAATAATAAGACTGAATCTCACAAACATAATATTGAGTTAAAGAAAACCACAGAAAAATACATATGTATGAGTCCCTTCAGATAAAATATAAAAACAGATAAAATTAGCCTATGCTGTTAAAAATAAGAGTAGTGGTTACCCTTCTGGGGGATAGGTAGTAAAAGAGGGAGTGTTGGAGATACTTGTTACTCAGCTGTGTTTACTTTGTGAAAATTAGTTGATATATATACTTTTCTATACATATATGACTTCAACTAAAAAATTGTAAAGAGAGCTATAATTTAAATAAAATATGGAATTCCTTACATTTTCTTTAAAAAGCTAGCATATAGTGAAACCTGACAAAGATGGCACAAAACATTTTTGGCCAAGCCTGCTTATGACTACAGATACAAAACATTTTTAAAAAACACTAGCAAATCTAATCTAGCATCACGTTAAAGGATTAATGCTCTAGAAAACCATGAATGACTTAATACTAGAAAATCTAGAAATGTCATTGATTCCATCAATAGGCCAAAAGAGAGAAACTTTATGTTCACCTTAATAAATGTTAAAAGACATTTAACAAAATTCATCATCCATTTCTGATAGAAGTTAAACAAATTACATATAGAATAGTCTCTCAAAATGATTAAAAAATTATCTCAACCCAGTAGCTTACATCATATTTAAAAGCAAAACAATAGAGTGTTTTCCAAATTTATTTTGCCAAGGTACATAACTTAAATTATAATGTACTGAAGAGCTACCAGTAGGAGCTCATGACATATGTATAATACTATGTTAAGATGGGACTTTCCTGTTGACTCAGAGTTTCAGCTATGTCCCCCAAATCTGAGAACAAATACAAGAGTTGTTTAATATCTCCCCATCCTGCACCTCTTGGGTGGCACTAGACTGTCCATGCAGGACAGGCTAAGAAATTGTGAAACCCTCTGCCAGAATTGGCCCATCACTCCCCTCTAGGATATAAAAGAGAAGACAAAGAATTCATTGTAATTAAAGAGGTCTGTGTTGAGGTTTTTTTTTTCTTTTCTTTTCTTTTTAAAGAATGGCTAATGGGCCATGTATTTCACCCATGGAAGAAAAAGAGAGAGTCTTTGAAGTAGGGTTTTAAGAGTACTATTTGAAAAGCTTGACATGGGTCCCCTGGTTAGAGAGAGACAGGCCTGGTATCTGATTGATCCCTGAAAAGAGTAAAGGTAAGAGGCTATGACTGGCCAGGAGCTCCAAGATAACAAAGCCAAGGGAAGAAGTTGATTAGAAAAGCTTGACTTCCTCAGTTGGGAAGGGGAAAGAACGTGTAAATTTCCTATGGGCCAAATATTGGGTCCAAAGAATGAAGCTGGATTATATCATTTTGAGAGGAACTATGTTGGTCATATGTGACTCCTAACAGAGAGACAAACTCCTGGAATTCATGGTGCTAGTCATTAGCAGCCAGTAAGAGGAGCACTGCCTATGTGAAGGTAGCTGTATGTGAGAGATCCTAGCAATAGTCAAGGAGAATTACAGAGGAGAGGACCCTAAGGACCTCATAGGAACACCCCAAAAAAGAGTGCATCTTCATAAGGAGTCTGCTATATGCAGAGGGCATCTATTCTAGGTTACAACTGCACCAGCCAGGTAAGACTTTTCTGTCCTTTAGCTGTCCTCTCTATTCCTACTTTCCCCTAACTCCTAGCCTGTGCCCAACCTTGGAGATGGTTAAAACAATAGCTTGCAAATAGGTGAGTTGGTGGAGCCAGACATGGGAAAAGAAGTTGGCCAAAGTGCCTATTTCCACTGCAGGTTTCCAAACCACTGGGGAAGGAGACATGTGTATTAGGCCATTCTTGCATTGCCATAAAGAAATACCCGAGGCTGCGGTAATTTATACAGAAAAGAGGTTTAATAGGCTCATGGTTCTGTCAGCTGTACAGGGAGCTTTGTGACAGAACTTGCTCAGCTTCTGGGGAGGCCTCAGGGAGCTTTTACTCATGGAAGCCAAAGGGAAAGTCAGTGCCTCAGAAAGCAGAGCACGAGCAAGAGAGTGAGTGGGGGTGGGGCACACACTTCAATGACCAGATCTCATGCGAACTCAGAACAAGAGCTCAATCATCATCCAGGGGATGGCCCAAGCTATTCATGAGGAATCCACCCCCATGATCCAAACACTTCTCACCAGGCCCTACCTCCAACACTGGGGATTACATTTCAACATCAGATTTGGGCAGGGACAAATAAACACCCAAATTATATCAACATGTTTTTGATTAGACCACAAATTTAAGCTATGCATTTATTTTATAGGGCTGAACTTCTATTATGTAAAAAATGACCAGATAACTATAGACATGCTTGTGATTAAGCTAGCAATGGAAAAAAACAAGTCAAAAGAACAGATTTGAAGGGCCTGTTGTGGGAAAGAATAAGGTGGCATTCTAATTGATTTGAGAAATTCAACACATATACATGTACATATTTATGCACATACAAGGCCACAGCCTCATTTGTGTCTTGCCACATCTACTCATGCCACCTCTGATGAGTTTTCATCCACCAGCAATGTGAAATTTTTTGAAAAGCAAATCTTATCAAGTGATCTCTGCCTAAAATCCCCCAGTGGCTCCGTATCACTCCTAGATTAAAGACCCACACCCAGACCCTAGAAGGTTAAGCTATCCTTACCAAGTTCAACCAGTAGCACACTCCTTCTCATTCTATGTGCTCTCATTTTTTCCCCCAGAAACTTGTACTGCTTTCCCACCTCACCTTTGCACGTAACTCTTCCCTCTGCCTGGAATATAGTTTTCTTTCTTCTTTGAAGCCTGATCCTTCAAAGGTCAATTGTCCTTTCCTCAGAGAAATCTGTGTTGACCTTCCCAGGTCAAATTTCCTTATTATATAATCTTATATTACTATTTACTTCTCCTTTACAGCTTATATCACAGTTATGTTTTACATTATGTGATATTTGTTAGTATGTGCATCCTCTACTTGACTGTAAATGTTATAAGGGCAGTTACCAAATCTATTTTTGTTTCCCATAGAATCACCAATACCTGCTACCAATAGGGGGCCTGCTACCAAGTAAGTTATTGGATATTTGAAAAGTGAATGTGTGGCAGCCAAAATATATAATGCACCTATGAATAAGCTTAAAGAAATGTGTCCATATGAGAAAAACTACAAAAATTTACAGAGGAAAATATAAGAAATGCTTAGGTACAAATTTAGCAAACATATTTATTACCTATATGAGAAAAAACTTTGATGAAAGAAATCAAAGAACTAAGTGGAGAGATATCCCATATTCATGGATAGGAAGACTCACTATTATCAAGATGTTGATTCTTCCCAACTAGATCTACAGATTTAATACAATCCCAGTCAAACTCCCAGCAAGTATTTTTTGTGGCTATCAAAAAACTAATTCTAAAGTTTATATGGAGAGGAAAAAGACCCAGAATAGACAACACAATACTGAAGGAGAACAAAATTGGAGAACTAACACTACCAAACATGAAAACTTACTGTAAAGTTACAGTAATCAGCACAGTGTGGTGCTGGTGAAAGAAGAGACAAATAAATCAATGGAACAGAATAAAGAGCCCAGAAATAGACCCACACAAACATATTCAACTGATCTTTGACAAAGAAGCAAAGGCAATACAATGCAGAAAAGATAGTTTTTCTAACAAATGGTGCTGGAACAACTGGAAATCCTCTTTAGAGAAAAAAGAATAGAGGAGAGGAGGGGAAAATTTTTAAAAATTTAAAAATTTTAAAAAAGAATCCAGACACAGACCTTATAAACTTCACGAAAATTAACTAAAAAAAAAATCACAGATCTAACTGTAAAATACAAAACTATAAAGCTCTGAGAAGATAACAGGAGAAAATCTAAATGATACTGAGTTTGAAGATGACTTTTAAGATACATCACTAAAGCCATGATTCATGAAAAAAATAACAGATAAGCTAGATTTTATTCAAATTAAAAACTTCTGCTCTGCAAAAGACACTGTCAAGAGAATGAGAAGGCAAGCCACAGACTGGGGGAAAATATTTGCAAAAGACATATCTGATAAAGAACTATTATCCAAAATATACAAAGAACCCTTAAAACTCAACAATAAGAAAACACACAAACTGATTTTAAAATGGGCAAAAGATCTGAACAAACATTACAGCAAAGAAAATATATAGATGGTAAATAAACATATGAAAAGATGCTCCACATCATATGCTGTTAGGGAATTGTGAATTAAGACAAAAATTATATACTTCTACACACCTATCAGAATGGCAGGAATCCAAAGTACTGACATGAAATGATGGTGAGGAAGTGAAGCAACAGGAACACTCATTTATTGCTAGTGGGAATGCAAAATAGTATGGCCACTTTGGAAAACAGTTTGGCAGTTCCTTACAAAACTAAATATACTCTTAATGTAAAATTCAGCAATTATGCTCTTTGGTATTTATTCAATGAGTTGAAAACTTATGTCCACTCAAAAATCTGCACACAGATGTTTACAGCAGCTTTATTCATAATTGCCAGAAATCAGAAGCAACCAAAACATTCTTAAATAGGTGAACAGATGAACAAACTGTCGTACATCCATACAATGGAATATTATTCAGTGCTAAAAGGAAATGAGCTATCAAGCCATGATAACACATGAAGGAAACTTACATGCATATTTCTCAGTGAAAGAAGCTAGTCTGAAAAGGTTACATACTGTACGATTGTACATACTGGAAAAGATAAAACCATAGAGCCAGCAAAAAGATTAGTGGTTACAAGGTGATTGGGTGGGGTAGGAAAGGGAAAAAGGAGAGGAATGAGTAAGTGGAGCACTGAGGATTTTTAGGGCAGTGAAATTACTCTGTGTGAAACTACAATGGTGGATGCATGCCATTATGTATTTGTCAAAATCTAAAAATCTGTGCAATACAACCAGTGAACCCTCAGGTAAATGATGGGCTTTCGGTAGTGATGTGTCAATGAATATTCCTCCACTGTAACACATGTACCACTCTAGTGAGAGATACTGATAGTGCGCGGGGGAAGGCAGGGGCAGGGGGAAAGGTGCGCATGTGTGTATATGGGAACTGTGTACTTTCTGCTAAATTTTGCAGAACTTAAAACTGCTTTAAAAAATACTGTCTGTTTTTTTAAAAAATCTATGTTTGAAGACAATTTTAAAGTAAGAAGATCAGTGTACAAGTCTTGATATCAGTTTCCTCTTACTGGTACCATTACCTTTCAGGAGTAACTAATCTTCTCTTGAGTCTTTTTACTATCTATCTGTAAAACAGAATCAAATGAAACAATGTGAACAAAAGTATTCTGTAAATATGAACATTAATGTAATCACAATAATAACAGAATCACTTCTACTCTACTGTCCTTTTGGTATATTCTTACCTAGATGAATACATACTAAGCTGAAATCAGATGGCCTTACCTGGTCATTTGTTTTGTTTTGACTTTTTGTTAAAAACTAGTTTTGGTGAATATTTCAATACTTTTTTTTTTTTTTTTTTTTTTTTTTTTTGAGACGGAGTCTCACTCTTGTCACCCAGGCTGGAGAGCAATGGTATGATCTTGGCTCACTGCAACCTCCGCCTCCCAGGTTCAAGTGATTCTCCTGCCCCATCCTCCTGAGTAGCTGGTATTACAGGTGCCCACCACCACTTCTGGCTAATTTTTTGTATTTTTAGTAGAGACAGGCTTTCACCATGTTGGTCAGGCTGGTCTCCAACTCCTGACCTCATGTGATCCACCCGCCTCGGCCTCCCCAAATGCTGGGATTACAGGCATGAGCCACTGCACCCAGCCAGTACTTTCTTATTTCACCAAAATCATAATCAGAATATATTAATGTGCATTTTTATGTGACACATTTCAAGATGATTCTCTATTTTACTAATTAAAAGATTATTTAAGTGCCTTACTGGTATGATTATAGTAATTGTCAATGACAAATCTGTTCCTTATGACTCAATCATACATAGAACTCTGTAATTATCTAAAATAATAAAATGGTTTCAGATTTTTATATTAAAAATAATTTATATGCTCATTTTAATTGGCATCAGACAGACCTGTGTTTAAATTTTGGCTCTGAAAATGCTGGCTGTGTGATCTTTAGCAAGAAGTAATTTTAACTCTCTGAGGCTCAGTTAATTCATCTAAAAAATAGATATCTATATATTAGATGAATAAATGTGTATCTTTACATTATGTATTTAACTTAATATCCATAAAAGTAGATTGATATCCCATGACATTGGAGGAGGAACTTGCAGAAGTAATTTTAAAGTTAATCTGGAAGAAAAGGTATGCACTAATGCTAAACATTAAAAATAATGTGAAGTACAATATTAAAATATTATTTCAGAGAACCACTTTATATTTTCAGTAATCAATAAGAAAATCAGCAACTTCTAAAACTTTTTTGAAGGTGAGAAGAATGAGGAGAAGAAAGATAATGAGAATGAAGAAAATAAATGAGAATAGGTACGGAAAATCTCTCTTTCAGACTGGCATCATAGGACTGTGTTGGACATTTCTGGGTGGATGTGCCATTATGCTAGATAGCCTAGGTTTGGAGATGCAGTCAGTTCTCAAGCCAGCTTACTGTGAGTGGCCATTGACAGCCCTGTGTGGCTATGGCCCAGTTAATTTCCTTTCCAGTAGCAATTTTTTGCTGCTTTTCTCCAAGATGCTTTATAGTAAGTTAATGAACCCACTAGGTATTCATGTTACTACAAGGCGAATCTCATTCAGCTCTTCTATAAGGATTATTACAAAATTCCTCAAAATTGGGATGTGCATCATTCCTTAATAGCAGTTGTTTATATTCACAGATTCTGTCTTACCTTGAAAATTAAATTCAGCCTTGAAAGGAGGTATTATTTCTTTTCAATAAGGGTCCATGTTGTATGGGAATCAACTTGTTTATAGTGATGGCTTAAAGATAAATTGATCTTACACTTAGAAATTATTCTGACTTTAAAAGTTTAGTAAGAATAGTAAGAATGTGTTAGTGACATTACTCACCTTGCCCTCTATTTCTAAGATTTATAAGGAAACTCCAACAGGGCCCTGACTCTCCAGACCCAGCATGGCAACATTGAAAGATTGCTGAAAGAGCAATTTCAAAAGCACAGTCTTGCAGAAATATTCTTACTTTCATAACATTTACATAATCACCTTGAAGATTAAAAACAAATCTTGCTCCTCTGTGGCTTTTTGTTACTTGACAAGAATGTTGGGGTGCCCATTGATTTCCCAAAGTATGGGGGTGCTTCTTTCCCAGGGCAGTTCTCAAGCCCTCAGATGCAGTTTGATGAATTGGTGGAACATTTTTGCAACTTTTGTAATCTGGTATTGATTTACTCTCTTCATCTCAAACCCTTCCAAATTGTTATTTTATTGGGGAGGGAAATAGGGATACCACAAAGTGACACATATCCTTAAGAAGTGTTGGCAGCCAGCCCTTTCCAACCAGAAAGTGCAGTGGCCCCCACCTGTCTCTCTCGGTGGGACAACATGTACCAGGGTTTCCTTGCAGGGATACATTACATTCAAAGGCAAGATTGTTCTTTTTTTAAAAAAAAATTTTTTTTAATCTGATGCTCAAAGCTTTCCCAGTGACGTATGTCTGAGAGCCTGTGGAGTTTTCCTGCCATCCATTCTGTGATAGTGAATGACAAGGGACTATCCTAACGCAGTGTATGGTGACTGTGTGGTTGGGTCACCCATGGCAACAGGGTGAGGAGGAACATTGAGACTGGGCTCTGATGAGCAGCAGAGCCCCAGAGGATGATGAAGTGGTGAGTGATTTTCAAAGCAAATGAATTTATGACAATTCCCATCGTGGCTACTACAAACGAAATGAATGGCGGCCTCCAAATAGTAGCCGGGAGGAGAACCAAGGATGGTGATTTTGCAAGAAATTCTTTTGAGGCTCCCACTGGAGACGCAACCACCCCTGCAGGTGCTGGGGTGTTGCTACCAATTGTGGAGGACAGCATCTCGGGCAGCAAAGGAACTGCACCAATGGCAGACTCTCATGGTGCTGGGAGCACTGAGAAAAGGAGGGAAAAGGTGTTCTTCTGGTCAGCAAATCCAAATGGGCTCTGGGAGTGGAAGACTCCAGAAGAAAAATTTGTCTTAAGATGAGGGCAATAGAGGAGCTGTGGAAAGGCCTTTGAACTTCAGATCAAGGGACCTCACTCACAATTTCCACTGCCTCTGACTGGCTGTGTGCGTTTTGGTAAGCCTTGTCCCTGTTGAGCCTCAGTTACAGCTTGAGGAAGTTGATAATGTCAAGGTCTTCAGGAATGGTAACACCATGACGTCACTGGGACTGACTGGAAGCTCTTACTGCAAGGGTGTGGCATTGGTGGAACTACCAAAGAGGCTCTGATTGCTTGTAGAGTTCACAAAGTCGTTGTTATCTCCAGCTGTAGAATTAAAATGTTATTCCCGCTACTATCAAGTCAGTGGCCCAATGGCCTTCTTTCAGTATCTTAATATATGCCAACCCCTTTCTCTACCTCAGGGCCTTTATCCATGCTAGTCTCTGTACATGGAATGCCATTTTCCAAAGTCTGAACCTGGTTAACTGATCCTTGAGATTTATATTTAAATGTCATTTTCTCAGATTAGATTTGGTACACTGCTAGACAGTCCCAGGGCACCCAGCACTCTGCTTTAAAGCACTTATCACCATTATAATGCCATCCCTATTTGTGTAATTATATAATTTTCTCTTTTCCACTAGACTGGAGCTCCATGAGGATAGTAGCCATTCTCTGTCTGTTTCAATATAATTTACTTCAATGGCCAATACCTGGGACAAGCCTCTATTAAGCATGCAATAAACATTCATTACAGATTGAAACAAGGGGAACAATAATCACTTTTCTTGAGTATCTGCATATTTCAGTCTAAGTGAAGTCTTAGATTTATCCACTTCCTTCCAAAAAAAAAAAAAAAAAAAAAACGAGCACTGTAGTAAGATGTTAGGATTAATGCATCGTTTGATGTTTTAGTTTGCATAGCACTTCCACTCCATCGGTGCGCTCTACCACAAAAGCTCCTCATAATGTTTTCCAGAGGGCCAAACATTTTCAAACATAGAGGATTAAGTCTGATGGATTGTAAGCTACTCCCAAAAGTTAGTTAGAACTTTGTGGAATTTCTTTATTAACAGTGTTGAAATCACTCTCAGTCAACTTCAAAGTGCATTTCCTTCTTCTGAACAGCCAGCAACAGATTACTCATTAGATTTGGAATAAACTAATGAGATATGACATGTAAGTAAAGTATTAAAAATAAAGCAGCTTGGCTAATTGAAAATGTTTATTTTATGAATTTTTAGATGGCAGTGGCTTAAAATAATTGCCGATATGCAAGCTTGGCATTGGTAGTTTCTTCCCCACTGTAAAAAGCTGTGTAAAAAGCACAGCAAATATACTCTTTTGATTAATAAAGTGACAAAGCTCACAAATACCAGAGGCTTAAGGTGACTAACTGTCCTGATTTGCTGGGGACTAAGGGGTTTTCTGAGAGAGGGACTTTCAGTGTTAACACTGTGAGAGACCCCAGCAAACCCAGATGACTGGCTACCACAGAACACAGCACTGTTTGGAAAACCCCACCCTTGGAGTCTAATCCCAGCCCTGCCTGTAGGTTAGGCCTGCCCTGGGCAACTTTATGGGATCCTCTTCCCTGATCTGTACAATGAGGCCAATCAAGGAATGGTCAGGTCTGAAATAAATGACATTCAATATTCTATAAAATGAAGAATATGGCCATGCAACAGCAGGGATGGTGGGGAAACTAGCAGAGATGACAATCTTAACACTAGCATTTATGCAAATCAAAACCACCATGAGATTCCACCTCACACCCGTCAGAATGGCTATTACTAAAAAGTCAAAAAACAACAGATGCTGATGAGGTTGAGGAGAAAAGGGAACACTTATATACTGCTGGTGGGAATGTACATTAGTTCAGCCCCTGTGGAAAGCAGTTGGAGATTTTTCAAAGAACTGAAAACAGAAATACCATTTGACCCAGCAATCTCATTACTGGGTATATATCCAAAAGAAAATAAAGTGTTCTACCATTCACTCATATGTTCATCATGGCATTATTCACAATAGCAAAGATATGAAATAAGCCTAAGTGCCCATCAATGGTGGATTGGATAAAGAAAATGTGGTGCAATCAAAAAGCTTATCCATCACAATTAAGTCAGCTTCATCTCTGGAATGCAAGGTTGGTTCAACATAGGCAAATCAATAAATGTGAATCATCGCATAAACAGAACTAAAGGCAAAAACCACATAATTATCTCAATAGGTGCAGAAAAGGCTTTTAATAAAATTCAACATCCCTTCATGTTAAAAACTTTCAGTAAACAAAATGTTTAAAGAACATACCTCAAAATAATAACAGCCATCTATGACAAACTCACAGCCAACATCATATTGAATGGGCAAAAGCTGGAAGCATTCCCCCTTGAAAACAGGCACAAGACAAGGATGCCCTCTTTCACCACTCCTGTTCAACATAGTACTGGAAGAGGAAGTCAAGTTATCCCTGTTTGCAGATGACATGATCCTATATCTAGAAAAACTCATTGTCTCAGCCCCAAAGCTTCTGAAGCTGATTAAACTTCAACAAAGCCTCAGGATACAAAATCAATGTGCAAAAATCACTAGCATTTTTATACGTCAGCAACAACCAAGCCAAGAGCCAAATCAGGAGTGAACTCTCATTCACAATTGCCACAAAAAGATTAAAATACCCAGGAATACAGCTAACTAGGGAGGTGAAAGATCTCTGCATAAAGAGCTATAAACCTCTGCTTAAAGAAATCAGAGATGACACAAACAAATGGAAAAGCACTCCATGCTCATAAATAGGAAGAATCAATATCAGTAAAATGGCCATACTGCCTGAAGCAATTTATACATGCAATACTATTTCCATTAAACTACCACTGACATTCTTCACAGAACTAGTAAAGACTATTTTAAGAGTCATGTGAAACCAAAAAAGAGTCTGAATAGCCAAGGCAATCCTAAGCAAAAAGAACAAAGCTGGAGGCATCACACTACCTGACTTCAAACTATGTTACAGTACTATAGTAACCAAAACAGCATGGTACTTGTACAAGGACAGACACATAGACCAATAGAACAGAATAGAGAACCCAGAAATAAGACTGCACACCTAAAACTATCTGATCTTAAACAAACCTGACAAAAACAAGCAATGGGGAAAGGATTCCCTATTCAATAAATGAGGCTGGGATATCTGGCTAGCCTTATGTAGAAGACTGAAATTAGACTCCTTCCTTACATGATATGCAAAAATTAACTCAAGATGGATTAGACATAAATGTAAAATCCAAAACTATAAAAATCCTGTAAGACAACTTAGGCAATACCATTTAGGACATAGGCATGGGCCAAGATTTCATGACAAAGATGCCAAAAGCAATTGCAACAAAAGCTAAAATTGACAAATGGGATGTAATTAAACTAAAGAGCTTCTGCACAGCAAAAGAAATATCAACACAGTAAACACACAACCAACAGAATGGAAGAAAATGTTTGCAAACTAAGCATTCAACAAAGGTCTAATATCCAGCATCTTTAAGGTACTTAAATTTATAAGAAAAAAACAGCCCCATTAAAAAGTGAGCAAAAGACATGAACAGGTACTTCTCAAAAGAAGATATACATGTGGCCAACAAACGTATGGGAAAAAGCTCAACATCATTAATCATTAGAGAAATGCAAATCAAAACCACAATGAGATATCATCTCACACCAGTCAGAATAGCTACTATTAAAAAGTCAAAAAATAACAGATGCTGGCAAGGTTGTGGAGAAAAAGGAACACTATACACTGTTGGTGAGAGTGTAAATTAGTTCAGCCACTGTGGAAGACAGTGTGGCGATTCCTCAAAGACCTAAAGACAGAAATACCATTTGATCCAGCAATCCCATTACGGGGTATATACCCAAAGGAATACAAATCATTCTATTATAAAGACACATGCATGTGCATGTTCACTGTAGCACCATTCACAATAGCAAAGACATGGAATCAACCTAAGTGTCCATCAGAGATAGACTGGATAAAGAAAATGTGGTACATATACACCATGGAATACTATGCAACCATAAAAAAGAACAAGATCATGTCTTTTGCAGGGACATGGATGGAGCTGGAGGCCGTTGTCCCTAGTAAACTAACACAAGAACGGAAAACCAAATGCTGTATGTTCTCACTTATAAGTGGGAGCTAAATGATGAGAACACATGGACAGATAGAGGGAACAATACACACTGGGGCCTTTCAGAGGGGGGAGGGTGGGAGGAGGGAGAGGAGTAGCAAAAATAACTAATGGGTACTAGGCTTAATACCTGGGTGATGAAATAGTCTGTGCAACAGACTCCTACGACACAAGATTATCTATGTAATAAACCTGCACTTGTACCCCTGAACTTAAAATAAAAGTGAAAAAAATGTGGTGCATATACACCATGGAATACTACAAAGCCGTAAAAAAAAAAAGAACAAAGTCATGTCCTTTGCAGCAACACGGATGCAGCAGGAGGCCATTATCCTAAGCAAATTAACACAGGAACAGAGAACCAAACACCACATGTTCTCACTTATAAGTGGGAGCTAGACATTGGGTACTCATGGACCTAAAGATGGGAATAATAGACACTGGGGACTATTGGGGGGCTGAAGAGAGGGGGACAAGGGTTGAAAAACTCTTGGGTACCATGCTCACTTTCTGGGTGCCAGGATCATTTGTACCTCAAACCTCAGCATCACACAGTATTCCCGTAACAAACCTGCACATGTACCCCCTGTATCTAAAATAAAAGTTGAAATTATAACAAGCAAAACAAAACAAAACAAAAAAAACCACTAGCATTTGTAAGCCTTATTGGAGTTAGGACTTCACACTGCAGCACCAAGGGGTGGGGGCCTTTGTGTTTCGAGTGGAGACCATGAGCAGTCAGGGGTTCGCTCAGCTAATTCACTTCCTCTGCAGAACGACTCCATGGGAGTATTCCCATGGCTCCCATTTTATAGGCGAGGACAGGAAGAAAAAAGAGGGTAAGTGAAAGTTTGCTTGAAGGTCACCCAAAGGGGGAGCCGATAGTCAGACCAGGTCAGCTCTCCTTTTGGCCAAAGTCTCCTGACCGCTGAGATGAAAACAGCGGTGGGCTCCTCCAGGGAGGGTTTGGAGAGCAGAAGCTAAATCAGCCACAGGTTCCTTTTGTGTTGATTGAGTCACAAAGCCTCCAGGAGCTGCCAAGTGGCACAAGATGCTGCACTAGGTTTGGAATAAGAAGGCCCCCAGACCCAGTCTCACCCCCAGCTTGGCTGGGGCACTAAACGATTTTAAAAATAAAACTAGAGAGGCCCTGCGTAAACGGCAGGGGATCCATGTCCACCTGACAGCCCTTGGAGCTAACGCTAAGGGAGGACAGCTTGCAACAAGGGGCACGGGGCCTGAGATAAAGGAAGCGGTCACCTAGAGGGACGGGCCATCTGTCAAGCCAGTTCTTTCCCTCCCCTCCCTTCCCTTCCCCTCCCCTCCCCTCCTTTTCCTTTCTTTTCTTCTTTCCTTTTCTCTTTTCTTTCTTTTCTTTTCTCTTTCTACAGTCTCATTCTGTTTCCCAGGCTGGAGTGCAGTGGTGCGATCATAGCTCACTGCAGCCTCGAACTCCTGGGTTTAAGCAATCCTCCCACCTCAGTCTCCCCAGTAGCTGATACTACAGGCATGTGCCACCAGAGTCAGCATTTTTTTATTTTTTATTTTTTGTAGAAACTGGGCCTCTTTGTTGCCCACGCTGGTTGCAAACTCCTGGGCTCAAGGGATCCTCTCACCTCGGCCTCCCAAAGCACTGGAATTAACAGGAGTGAGCTACTGTGCCCAGCCAAGCTTGTTATTTTCTTAGGGAGAGGACATCTTAGTGGCAAGAGCACATGTCTTGCATTGGTCTCCAGCAGATTTGAACTCATCCTACCTCTGTGCCCTCAGGGAATCTTCCCAACCTCTCTACATGGAAGCATCCTCATCTGTGACATGAAGCAAAGAACAGTGCCTTCCCGTGCAGGCTCTTTTTGGGATTACACCAGAACATAGGCATGCTCAATAAATGGCAGCTATTTGCATTTACAGGCTCACAATCTCTTCTCTATAAAATCCCAGATCCAAAAAAATTGAAAACCGAAAGGGTTTTGGTAACTCATTTGACAACAAAGACTGGTCGGATCTAAACTCATTTGACAGTTAAAGCTGAACTGAATTGCTACTAGACTATTTATGTTGTATAGTTATAGTTAAATATTTAGCTGCAGAAATATAAATATGTTTGATTAGGGGATGCTACTCCAGACCCCAATAGGGGATGTTACATAATATGCAGTATGTACACATTTCTTCTCTGAAATCTGGACAATTCTAAATCATGTTGGTTTAAAAGGTTTCAGAAAAAAGATTATAGACCTATACTGTGGTGAATCTCAGGCCCACGTCCCTCATCAGGAGCAGCATGGCTCTTACATGGAATCCTGGCCTTAGAACCCAAGTAAAGCGTCAGCCTCAGAATAAGGCTCCCCCTGTTCTGTAGAGCCTTGGCTCCATCAGCCCTGCTCAGAAAAATGGCAAGGAGGAGCCCGATTTATTAGCTGTTAATGCTGTTGTGCAATAATCTTGATCTCCAAGTTGCAAAAACCCAGTTGGAAGAGAGAAATCTAAAGCGATCAGAATGACTACTATACCAACTACAGAAAATATACGAGTTTCATGAGAAGTTTCAGGAGTCAGACTGACACTAAAGTTGATGGAATTTTAAGAAAAAGAATGCTACTTCTATTTAGCATTAAGTTATTTTTCTTCTATTGTAGTTTAATTGTGGTCCTATCTGAAGAAAAGCTGGACTTGAAGCCAGGATTTGGGGCATAAGGGTATGACAGTGGCAAGCCCCTGTGTCAGCAGCTTTCACAGAACAAGGAGAAAGTAAGATCAAGTTGCAACTGGAAATCTGGGTGCACAGGTACCAGAAAGGAAGATGCTCTAGCTGGGGAGTCAGGATTTAGGGGGTCAGGTGGGAGGGGAGGGCAAGTGGGGAGGTAAGAATGTTTAGCCATGAAATTTGGAAGAGGTGAACTTGGTAAAGAGGAAAGAGGTGTGTGTAGGGATAGGCAGGGCCATCCCTGTTGCTGTAAGTGGATGTCTGTGCTGCACACATACCTTACTGGTCCACATTGTCCCCCTCACCGGGAACCTACTGGAATATCCACACCTGCACCTGCCATGGTGAAGCCGGAAATGCACTCTCCCCAGCCTTGGTATATCTTGAGCCCAGGACAGGGCACAGGTAACTATCATCCAAGCTCACTTTCAACACATTGCTGTGCCCTCTTTCTGGGTTGCTGAGGTCCACCTGCAGGAGGCTAGGAGGGTGACCCCAGAGTCCCCGTGCTGGAGTGTGAATCCCAACGCTGTATGACCCTGGTCAGGTTACTTCATATCCCTGAGTTCAGTTTCCCTTTTCATAAAATGGGATGATAGCCACTGCACCTGACTCCTGGAGTTCCGTGAGGGTCATATGAGACAGTTCCTGTAAAGCTGATGTGGGACCCAGCACATGGTGATTTCCCCATCCGTGTACCCAGTGCCCACTGCTTGGTGGCAGCTCCAGGGCTTCCAGCCATGCCAAGCAGCCCATCTTGTGCAGATATCTGCAATCCCAGGTAAGATGATTGAACCTTAAATAAATAACAGCATTTTATTTTAGGGTCTCCTGGCCAGTAGCTGTTCATTTGGAGACTCATTATTTTCTTGATCATATTAATTTAAGCTCTCAGTCCCCAAATCTCTCAGCTAAGTACCTTTGCTACTTCCTACTTTTTTACTCACAGCAAACTCATGCCTGGCTCCTCTTTCCAGCCTTCAGTTGTAGTAGTATCCATGAGAGTCCCAGTTGTGCAGTTTTGCTTTGAAAGGATTAACAGAGTGGAACCGGGACTGCAGTTACAGGCAACAAGGTGGCACCGCGTCTAAGATGCCTGCTCTTTTGGGATTCTTTCAACACTTCCAAGTTTTATTGGCATAAATGATTTTAAGAACCTTTTTTCCACTTCAGATAAGAAGTTCTAAAACAGAGGCCGTTCGAACGATACCCTTTAGGATTAGAAAAATGTTCACTTTGCCTTTTCTCTCCTTCTTTGTTACGTCTTGTTTCTTATTTACACTGAGAGAGGTTTCTTTGACTCTCAGAGCACCCGCCTTTATTTCATGCTTCCAGTGCAGCTGCTTCATCCAAAATGAGGAAGGGTTGCAATGGAAGAGAACTCAGAGGAGGGCTGGAGACAGGACCACTGTACCACCTGGGTCTTGGAAGCTGCCTTCCAAAGACTGGCCCAGACACAGCAGAAGGATTACTTAACATGGCCTTTATCACTTCCGGGGCATGTGGAATGCTGAATCCTAATTCTAAAATGAGTCCTGAAATTGTTTCAGTAAAATTCATCATTAAGGACTTAAAAAATAGGAGATGAGAAGTAGGAGATGTGAAAGAATAAATCCATGGAACACACATGACAGATTTAGCAAAAATTAAAAATTTCTTCACTTTGACACTTACCTGAATGCCACCCAGAGAAAATTCAGCACATGTGCCAGGCATAGTGACAAGCACAGTATGACATCATTCTATTGTGAATCTCACAAGGTGCCTGTTATGGCTCTGGTGACTTGCCTCAGACAGAAGAGAAAGCTGAGGCTCAGAGCAGTTAGGGAGGCAGGTCTGTGTTGGAGCCAGGATGCAAATACAGGGCTGTCTGTCCCCACAGCCTGTACCTTGCTGTGTGCCTTCCTCAGTCAGCACAATTTTATGGGACTAAGCGTTTTAGTCATGATACAACAGCAACAGTGAATTCAGAAATGTAACTAGATGTTCTTTCTTCTTTTTAAATTAAACTATCTCATATTTGCTCCTGTTTGATCCCTTTTGCAATTTTTATTCATTTATTTTCTTATTCACTCATTCACTCATTTGGCGCTCTCTCTCTTTCACACACACACACACCCACACACACACACACACACACACACACACATGAATAACTACTAAAGTCATTGTCCTTGAAGAATTTAAAGTGGAATCTGTTTAAAGTTTGCTCCAAGGTGTAGATTCATGCATTTTACCGGAAGATAAGAGGAAAAAGAAAAAGGAGAGATAAAAGCAGTTTGGAGACAAAGGGAAGAGATGACATCTTACAAGTATAAAGCCTGTTCAATAAAATGTGATTTCATGATTGTCATTTGACAACATCCCTGGCTTTTGTTTGTTTGTTTCTGGTAAGTAAGGAAACAAATGACCAATGACCACATCCCTGTTGTTTGTAAGCTGCACTGTGAATTCTTGTGAAGAACAGTGTAAAAACTTCTCTGTTTACAGGGTAGAGACAAATTTACTTTCCATTTCTGATAACAACGGAGTCAGTCTTCCCTGCTGCCGAGGATTTTTTGAAACAGCGTGAATACTGCTCCTTCGCATTTCTGAGAGAGGGCAGAACCGGGTCATCGTGTTGCTTGACAGAGGGCCATGATAACTGTCTACAGATATTTAAAGGGTGTAAATGAAGACTTGATTGCTTTAAGATATCTTGGTACTAACTTCGTTTATTAAAGATGCAAAAGATTTGGGTGAGGTATGTCAGAGCCCCAATCCTTCAGAAACATTTTACAGGGCTGGGGGTATGACCCACCCAGTGAGTGGAACTTGAGCCCTGAGTGGAGAGGGCCTTTGGGGACTGTATCAGGGAGGAGGACACAAAGCCGTGGATGAGACCGGTCTCATCGTGGCCTCTGCAAAGACCTCGCAAGGGAGGACAATCACAACATAATGGCATTCCAGAGCAGTGGAAGGTATTCATTAGCACTCCAGTGAGGAGAGAGAAAAAACAGAAGGAGGAACAGAGAGGAACAGACTCAAGCTCAGGGAAATGGACATTATCCAGCTTGTTGACAGAGACCTCATTCCGTTTCATTCTTGACTCTGCCTGTCCACCTTTCTCGTGTGTCTCTGTTCTTTGCATCTTCCATGGAAACACGGGATGAGAACAGGGTGAAGGCTCTCAGAGCAGTTAAATTGTATTCCTTTTTGGCAACTCTAGTGAAATCCTGTCTGATGAATTTGGAACTATTGATTGCGATAAAGTTATTAATATTAAAGTTTCTTGGAACACTTGTGGATATCACTTATCCAGATAGCAGGTCCCCAGTTAATATAGATGATTGAATTTGGGAGATAAATGCACTATTCTGGGGGGCAGGAGGTGCTGTCGCAGAAGAAAATGAAAACACGTGGAAAGGAATCATGTCAAGCTTAACATCCAAGTTGAAGGCCAACTATACGGAACTTAGATTTTTTAATAACCTGTAAATGGTCTCAGAGGAATGGTGAATTGCTGAAGTCTTTTGAGTGGAGTAAGTCACATAATTAAGAGATTATTTGTAACAGACTCAGTCAACTACAGGGTATTATTCAAAGCAAAAACCAAACCAAACCAAACCCTCTGGATCAGAAGGCACGAAGATGTAGACAGCGTCTCTTATGCCTTATGTAGGAAGTGCCTAATGATTTCTTTGCAAATTCTGACTAGTATAAGTCCTAAACAAGAGGCAAATGTCTTAGTGTCGTCCAAGTGCTATAAATGAAGTTAAATGGGAACATACGGTTAACATTTCTATAGGACTGTATGTTTGCCAAAAGGTTAATAATCACTTGTTCCTTAATATTCATAACATCCCTCTAAAGCAGAATTTCCCACACTGGGACTGGGAGGCCTCAGGGATGGTGGAGGAATTTCAAGAGGGTCATGGGGATTGGAGCTGTAGTATTTCAAACAGCTCTCCAATGGTGATGGAAAATTGCGGGCTGCAGGAGGGAGGTACGGAGTTCCCGGCACCCTGTGTTCACTGGGCAAGTCCCCCTGTGAGGCCTGGGGCCCCTTGTCGGGACCAGACCTGCTTCGTTGCAGGAATCCTAGGATTCTTTTTCCACTCTCCCGTCCTCATGTCAGTGCCAGCTCCCACTCTAGGCTCTGGAGGCTTCGGGGCCTGTTTTGAATCCCAGATTTGATCCTTGCTTGCTGGATGACTCTGGCAAGTTTCTTACCCTCTCTGAGCCTTGAGTACAACACTGAAGAATGTTGGATGATCACTTACATGGTGCAGTTGTGAATAAGATATCACCTTTAGCACATTATCAGCGTCCAATGATTAATAGTAGTAGTTATTTGTTCCCTTTGTCTTTCCAGGTACTTCTTGGATGTTTCAGAAAACAACTACAAGAATCTTTTCATTTTGAGGACTGTCCTCTGAATCTCTGATGAAAGCAAATAGGAGATACATACCCATGGAACAATACAAATAAATAGATAACATCACAAATATTTCAATATTTCAATACTCAATAGAGTACATTGATATCATCAAGCTTAATCAACCCTGCACAGTTTATTGCTTCTGACTGCCTTGCAGACATAGGTCACCGAAAACTATGTTTGACCTGTGCCCCTGATTTTACCCCTAAAGACTCCAGCTTTAGCAGAGGCTGGTGACTTTTGTTTTCCAGGACAGTCTATTTTCCTGGGTGATATAATTAAAATATGATAAGATTTTTTTTTTTGAAGGACAATAGGGAGTCTTTGTCCCAAAAAGAAAATCTACACCTTCAGGTGTGCCTGTGGCCACTGCATCAGGACCCCGCCCTTCACACGCGTTATTCCATTCTGAAAATGTCCGAACACTTTCTTATTTTCCATGTCCCAGTCTTTAAACTGGATTGAAGGAGGAAGTTGAAGCTACAGCATTTGATGAGAGTGGTAATGAGGGTGGCATGTGCAGTTCAACTGTAGCTTCTTACTATGTAGAGTATCCGTGTTCTAAAGCGAAGCCTTGTGTGATCACAGTTCCAGAAAACTGAGGAATTCAATGACTCAGATACTCAGTAACAATTAAAAAGTTCTTCATTTAGTGTTTCAGCAGAGCGGGGAGGAGACAGATTTCCTCCTGTGCAGCCCTGCTTAAGGCGGCCAGTCCCTGCAGGAGGAGAAGCAGATCTCAAAGTTGTCCCTCATCCATACAACATTATATTTAAGGAGAATTCCTGCTAGCTTAGAATATAACTCTGGCCACCACCCACTTCCCCATCCAAATGTCTTGCAGATAGCTAATTCAGAAAGCCCGGACCTGACTTAGAGATGGGTAGTATTCAAAAAGGAACACACACAGTATCTATAGATGAAAAGAGAATGAATGAAACAAGAAAAGCAAATAAATTAGGTTTAAAAAAGCTTTACAGCCGGGGGCGGTAGCTCACGCCTGTAATCCCAGCACTTTGGGAGGCCAAGGCGGGCGGATCACGAAGTCAGGAGATCGAGACCATCCCGGCTAACACCGTGAAACCCCATCTCTACTAAAAATACAAAAAATTAGCCAGGCATGGTGGCAGGCGCCTGTAGTCCCAGCTTCTCGGGAGAATGGTGTGAACCCAGGAGACGGATCTTATGGTGAGCCGAGATTGAGCACTGCACTGCAGCCTGGCTGACAGAGCAAGACTCTGTCTCAAAAAAAAAAAAAAAAAAAAAAAGCTTCACTAGAAAAATATTGCCACAAAACAGATGACATTTATGACCCAACATACTTTCATGAATTTAAAAAGAAAAGAAAAAACTTAGTGAAACAATCGCCTTTAAAAAACAGGAGCTCAAAAAAACATATACAGTAGTTTAGGAAATATTTAGCAAGACAATGGGAAGTGAAACATAAGTTGGCAGAACTTAGCAAAAATGACAACCTAGAAACCAAGACCACAGTGGAAGCAGCAGAACGGAGACTCAGATTCTGCTGGAAACTGACCATATCCAAGTCCACAAAGAACATGTTACTAAACTTCAGAAATTAGACTGAGTCCAGAAAAGCTTCTCTGATCACAAAGCAATTCATTTAAAAACTAATAATAAAATAAGGAAGGAGAAAAATTCTACCACCTGGAAATGCTAAAATATTCTTTCATGTGCAACTCTTCCATTAGGGATATATTTTTAAAAATAAAAATAATTAAGGGTTATATTTTTATAAATGAAAATAATTAAGCTAGTACATATCAGAACCTATGGGACAGAGCTAAAGCAGAATTCTGGAAAAAACTTAAAGGTTTAATATTTATATTAATTTAACTGAAAGAAAGAAAACACCTAGGTATATATTTTTTAAAGCTAACATTTTGGTAAAAAGGAATGTGAGATGTGGGCAAAAAAAAAGAGATAAAAATAATTTTGAAAAGTGTAAGAGTAAAAATTTAACACAAAGTGTAAGTCATATAAAATGTAACTTTAAAACGTTATTGAGGAGAAAAAAATGAAAGAAATGGAAAGGCATGACATATTCTTAAGTAGGAAGACTTAAAGCAAAAAATTTAACTCTCCCAATGATATCTATAAATGGAATTTGAAGCCAATAAAAATATAGGATTTTAAAAAGCTAGATAAGCTGTTACTAAAACTTATAAGAAAAATCAACAGACATTCCATGTCTGGTAATAATGGACTTAGTTATTTAGATTAATTCTTGCAGTTAAAACAATGAATATTTGGATAACATATTAAACAAACTTGATTTTAAAAGCACTGAAAAGCTGACAAGATAATCAGGACTTCCCAAGTGATTAGGTTTTGCCCTGATTGGATTTTGCCCGTGGTTGATCAGGTTAAGTTGAGTTGGCTGTGGTTTTCATGGACTCTCAGAATGAAGAATACGGAAGTCAAAGGCCAAGACTCACCCAAGGTAGGAAGGAGGGTCTCATAGGAGACTCTTGCCTCACATTAAGCTGTGAGTCTGAAGGGGTTCACCTTCAGGGTAAGGACAAACCAAAGGTGAACCTGCTCCCCTTCCCACTACCCCAGGGGACCATGGGAGAGTTACCTTGACACTAAGCAAAGCAGAGAAAAGAAAAAGAAAACCCGTCCCTGATAGGACGTCATCACTGAATCATTGGCTGGCAGTATTTGCCCATATGCTGCTCAAATACATGTCTTTGGGATGAGCCAAGAAACTTTGAGCTATGAATTTAAAGTGATACACAACTACAGTACCCCCAAGCACCTGGCAGAAGCAAGCTCTAATCATCTCTGGAGGCAGATACTTTCATCCTAGGCCTCGAGGATTTTGTATAAATGGTTTCTCAAGGGCAGTAAGCAGTACAGTTGAAGATTACTAAACTCAGAAAACAAAGCACCAATAGTTAATGTCAGCAAAATAGACAGCAGAGGCGAGTTAGACAACTGCAGCTGTTTGAATGACCAGACACAGAGTACAAAGAGCTATGTTAATTTTATTTAAATAAATGTAAGGTAAGCTTTAAAATATCTGCAAGAAATAGTCAACAATAAAAATTGACATTGTGGGTTAGAAAAAGATCAACTAGCACTTCTAAAATTAAAAATAGAGTAACAGAAATTGAAAAGTCAGTGAATGGGTATGGTGGCAGATTAGACACTGTGGAAGACAGAATTAGAGAACTGAAGATAATGTGAATAAATTATACAGAATTATAGTGCAAAGAGGCAAAGAAATGAAAAATATAGGAGAGTGGTAAAGAGACGTAGAGGACAGAGAGAGAAGGTCTCTTTTTTCCAAGATGGTCTTTCTTCTCTTTCAAAAGTGTAATTGTTATTTCAGAAGATGAGAAAAAAGTGAGGTGGTAGGTTATTGAAAGAACAATAATAACTATTAAAGATAAGTGAAAAGAAATTTGCATCAAGGCACATCACAAAGAAATTGCAGAATACATAAACAAAGAGAAAATCTAAAAAGCAGCTAGCTAGAGTTGGGGTGCAGTGGAGTGTGATGATTAATGAATAAGACTACCCTACCAGGTGTCAAATGCATTGTAAAGTGGTATCAATTAACACCTCATGGTATTGGTATACGGGTAAGTAGATAGAAATATATATGGTAAACTAGTATATAACAGAAGTTGGTAGCTTAAATCAGTAGAGAAAAGGCAGCTTAAGTCAATAAAGGACACTAAAATATATAGACCTCTGAAAAAATATGTATATACTGAGATTCCAATGAACCCAAAATTTAGAAAGAAAAAAACCTCAGAAGAGTACTAGAAGAAAAAAAAAGAAGATACTTTAAAAATAAATTCAGAATAGTAAAGGCTTTTCTACATATAATAAAAAACTGAGAAACCATAAAATAATATATTGATAACTTTCACTACCCCCAAAATTTTAAGTGTGTCTTGTATTATAATATTATATAATATACAGTTATATAATAGTATTATACATGAATAAAAGCAATGAACTGGAAAAAACATGTGCAACTCATTCACTGATTAAAGATAAATTCTTTTTAGATGTGAAGAACTTATACAAATCACTGTGCAAATATTAATCAAATGTAAGATGGCCAAAAGCTCTAAAGCATTTCACCAAAATAAAATAACATAAAATAAAACTATCTTCCAACCATATAAAAAGATACTCAATTTCATTCATAAAAAGGGAAATGCAAATTTAAACTAAAATGTAGTACTACTGCTCAATTATCAAACTGGCAAAGATAAAAACATTTGACAGTACCTTGTGTTGGCTGTGATGTAAGGAAATGTGTTCTCTCATGCATCACTGGTGAGAATGTAACTTGCACTATCTTCTAGGATCAAGATTTTAAATCACGTGCCCTTTGACCCAGCACCTTTTCTTCTAGGAATTTATCTTACAGTTATATTCACAAATACATGGAATGAGCTCACAATCATTCATTACAACATTGTAAAAAGCGAAAGCTTAGAAACAACCTAAACGTTTGTCTATGGGGGTCTTATTAGCCTCCCGCCACAGTTTGTTTTTTATTTTTCTGTCTTACTACTCACATCCACATTACATGGCACACTTATTCTAGCTCTCGGGGCTCTGAACAGTCCCAGGTTTCCAGGCTTGTAGGATATCAGGAGAGGAGAGAGATGCTGCTAAAGGTAGAACCAGTGACAATGGGCAGCTGTTGGCCTGAAACGAAAAGACAGATAAAGTACAGAAACATCCAAAGAACTTTAAAAAACCACAGTTCTGTAATACCATACACGATTTGAATTTCTGTCCTTTTGTTCCTGTAAAATCTTTGCAAGTGTTTTAAACCTCCTGACATGCACATTCATCTTTATTTAGGCTTCTACTCAAATGGTCCACCCTTCTTTCTTCTCAAACAGCCCATCAGAGGCTCATTCCTGAGCTTTGATCTGTTGCAGTGACCGATCCTGTCAGCTCTTCTCCTGTGGCCATACCGCTACCCCTTCTCTCTCTCAAGGCTCTCTCCTCACGGTGTGACGCTGCTATCCAGGGCCCCTTCCCCTTGGGATGCCCTGTCTCCACTTTGCTGACAGCACTCCTGGTGGCCCCCAGGCTCTGCCCTCCTTTTCTGTCTTCTTCCTGGAGTCCCTCTCTCCTGGTGCTGTAGCCTGCTCCTGTAGCTCCACATGCCATTTGCAATGCACCCGTATCCCCAAATCCAAAGCACCCTCTCTCTGTGAATTTTATCTCTAATTTTAGTTTTCAGTTAAAAACTGTTTTTAACCCAATCTTTAAAGTGCCTTGCAAATGCTCTTCCTCTGCATGAAGCCGTCCTTATTCTCGCAGTTGGGATTGTGGCAGCCCACCTCCCAATCCCTGCCCATGCTTTCTCATGGGTGTAATACTAACCCCCAGGGGGCAAAAATGGGTTCTTGGAAGAAGGAGCAAAAAATTCTGTTCCTTTAATGTACAAGTACAGACTACATATAGTATATCAACAGACATATGGTATATCTGTGATGTCAGAGTCTCCTGGGGGCAGGGCAATTAGGAAAAAAAATTCTTAAAAGGCTCCTTATGAAGGGGTGATCATGAAAGGAAGGTTGAGAAACACTACTCTTGACATTTGCACCAAGATGTCAAGGACACACACCAAGCCCATCTTGTTCAAAACCTAATGAGCTCCCCTCCCTCATCTCACTCCTGATTCCCCAACCCACACCGCCCATACCCTTGTCACAGCTAATGTCATGGTCAGTCAGCCAGTGCCCATGCCAGGGTCCTTAGTGATAGTTGGCGCACTTTCTGTCCTCACATCCCATATCTAATCACGCTGTATCAGTCCGTTTTCATGCTGCTGATAAAGACATACCCGAGACTGAGTAATTTATAAAGAAAAATAGGTTTAATGAACTTACACACAGTTCCACGTGGCTAGGGAGACCTCACAATCATGACGGAAGGTGAAAGGCACATCTTACGTGGTGGCCAACAAAGGGACAATGAGAGCCAAGTGAAAGGTGTTTCCCTTTATAAAACCATCAGGTCTCGTGAGACTTATTCACTACCACAAGAACAGTATGGGGGGAACTGCCCCCATGATTCCATTGTCTCCCACTGGGTTCCTCCCACAACACATGGGAATTACGGGAGCTACAATTCAAGATGAGATTTGGGTGGGGACACAGCCAAACCATAACACATACCAAGCCCTCCAGGTTGTACTGCCACTTTCTCTCTTGCACCTGTCCCTCATGCCATGCCAGCCACCTGCCTGAGTTTAGGGCCAGGTCACCTCTTGCCTGGATCACTGCAATGACCTTCCAAATCGTTTTCACCCCCTCCCCACTCTAATCTATCTGTCATTCTGCCACTAGAGAGAACTTTCTAGAGCACAAACTCATGATTTAATGTTCATGTATTTGAAGTTTGATTTCAGTTTGCTTCAAATAGAAAGTCTCTAGAATAAAAGACAAGTCCACCAGCATTTTTCCAGATCCCTTTCCTGTATTCCTCTACAGTCATGCTGTATTCTACCACAGTTGACTGCTGTGCCTTCCCTGGAATTCATTCTATATGTTCATATCTTTCTGCCTTTTTTTGTATCAAATCTCCTCAGAATTCCTTTTTCCACTCTTTTCACCTGAACTATTCTTACCTCAAGGCCTGCTTAAATGTTCCATCTTCTGTTGAGTCTTGCCTCATGTGATTCCGGGCAGAAACACTTGCTGCTTTCTTTCTGCTTCTGCAGTGCAACACACGTGTTTATATAACAGGGAATGGACCACATTGCTTTTCAGTTGTCCTCCTTCTATGTAAATTTGAAGAAGGATACTTATCAAATTGACACAGGTTTTGAGAAAAATACTCTTACGTGCAAAGTGTTGTGCTGGACATTGGAACAGTAGAAGTGAATAAAGAAGGCTTGCCTTCATGAAGTTTAAAATCTGGTGGGAAAGACATGTATTCAGCAAGTCATTTTAACAAATAATCATTTAAATACTGCTGTGAGAACTGCCACAGTGGAAAGATATAGGATGCTATGAAAGAAAAAACAGAGAAATCCACCTTCCCCCAAAGGGGTCGACACAGCTTTTCTGGAGAAAAGGTCTTTAAACTAAGACCAGAATGAGTTAGCTGGGTGAAGAATATATTCCAGGGTGAATATATTTTGGGCAGAGGTAATAGCCCTTGAGGATACCTTGTGATAAGAAAGAGCCTGAGATCATTGAAGACCAGAAATAACAAAACAAACAAACCAATATACAAACAAAAAGTGGGTGTACAGGTAATAAGAGAGAGGTGTGGCATGACACCACCGAATGGATTTATGACGAAAGGAGTCACTTGCTGAATCTGAAAGGGAAACTTCATCTTCTCTGCCTCCTGGCACCACACAGATAGGCCACTGACCTGGGTCCACATGGCAATGTTTTTGTCCTTTTTGTCATATTGCCTGAAATATAGACTCAGAAATATTTTTTTCTATGACCAAAAAATTGCTAAAAATTCTGATAGAAATGGATGATTCAGGCCCAACACCTTCTAGAAGTACTCCAATTTCGGTATGTGCTGTTTTGAGAGCCCACGTCTTACACAAGTGTCTAACAGCCATGTGAGGTGTGATTTTTCAGGATATCACCTTGATGCATGGTAACATGGCCCCATAATGAATAAGAGCATTTTACTGTACCTGAAACTCTGGGGTCAAGTCATATGGCTACGAATGTGGAGCAAAGCAATATGGAAACAATATGTTCAACTTTATGACTAGTAACTCATTGGCTCATGGACAGCTTTGTCCCAGCTTCTCTGGGGGTAGTTTTCCTGCTGCATGGCACACATTTGAGGAGCACTGGAAGTCCCACAGTTTTTCCCACACTACAGTATTCTGAGTATTGCAAGTAGAGATGGAACGGAGAGTGGGTTTGTCAAAATAAGCCAGCCCCACATTGAAAAAGTCACGTGTGCTTGGTGCTATCCACAAACATGAGTCACCCAGGGAGGTATGTAGATGCTTGTGACAAGAGAGGAGAGGCCTAAAAATAACAGTTCCACTGAAGGGTGGAGCTACAGGCTGCTGGTGTGTCATGTTTGGCTGCTGCTTCTGAAAATTCCTTCAGTTAAAGTAGCAAGTGGGATGACAGCTGCAGATACCTGGCTTTCAGGAGAGAAGTGTAGCAGGTATCCATTGAGGGGGGATTTCAGGGTCATGAACTCCTCCTTATTACTTATTTCCTGAAGCTGATGTGTGAAAATCCATACAAGAATCCCACATCTTTAGTTAAAGACTTTGATCCCCAATAAATCAGAACGACAGCACATTCGGCTGTTCTCAGTGACACATTTGAAGGTTGCTGGAGATACAAGGATGCTCAGAGTGTCTTCTTTTACTTTCTTTTAACTTTCTCCTGCTGTTCCATATACTACATGAGGGCAAGGACCTTGTTTGTCCTGTTTTCAGTTCCATCCTCGGTGTCTTGCACAGAGCAGGAGCTAAATAAATATTTGCTTAAGGAAAAATGGAAGGAATGTGTCTAGCCCAGCCCTCTTAGTTTGCAGGCAAGAATACTGAGCAGGGAGAAGAAACTTGCTCAGGATCATGCAACCTATCAGCAGGGGTAGGAGGGAAGCCAGCCTCTGACTCTCCACCCAGTGCTCTCACCTTTCCAACAAGCTAGCAATGACTCAGTGTGGCTAGAAGTGTCTTGTTGAGGGCAAAGACCAAACACGAGGTCTCTGGCTACTAGGCTGAGGTGGACAGTATGGGGCAGCAGTTCTGAGGGGGGCCAAAAGATAGTGAACTTCACTGGGAGGAGGTGACAAAGACAAGGCTTGCCACTGGAGGCTGCCCAGCAAAGTTTCAAGGGCACAGTGGTGCTCCTTTCTGAGCCTGTTGTGTTTGCCTAAATTTGTTTTTAATAAAACCTAGGAGAAAAGCACAAGTTCCTGGAGCAGCAGGGGCTGATGGCTTGTGGTCTGCTCAGGACCACAGACTTCACCTTATGCAGACAGCTCTATGGTCATTAATACTGAAGGCATGTGTGCTTTTTTTGTGTTTTGTGTTTTTCTTTTAATAATCAGACAATAGTTTACATCTGTGCATTGGCGAGGAGTCATGAAGAAGAGCATCCAAACAAAGATGAGAGAAGCCAGACTGGCAAGTGGGCTGGCTGGAAAAGAGAAGAGAAGCCAGACACAGTACTTTGTCTTTAGTCTCCATGGATAAAAATGCTTAAAGTTCACCGTGGGGAGAAGGGAGGGGAGGGAAAGGTCTTGAAGGATTCCCAGTGGATACAAACAATGGTCATTTTTGAAGCCAGTTTGCATTTAGTCTCACACTCTCTTGTCTTAAAACACTTCTGAAGCACAAGGCTTCTGAGAGAGTAGGGCAGTTGCAGGAGCAGCAGGAGGGGGCTGGGGTGGGACTGGGGTGTAGGGAGAGGCCTGAAGGACCCTCCTGGCCCCACATTCCTCAAGGCACCTAACAAGGAAGCAGAACCCTACCTGGTTAGAGGTCCATGTTCCAGAATCGATGGGTTCTACTGCTGTGCCCAGTCAACAGGATACCTAAGCTTTGACTTTGGGTCACTAAAGATTGTTTCTAGACAAAAGCCCTAGCTCACAAGTCTGGGGGCAGCTTGGGACTTTGTTTAGGCCAGGTTTACCAGCTTGGTGTGAGAATAGCATCAGATATTGGTTACAGTGGTGGGATACATTCCAAGACTCCCAGTGGATGCCTGAAACCTCGAGTAGTACTGACCCTACATATACATGCTTTTTCCATGTGAGAACTGAGATGACTACTACGTGACTAAGGGTGGGGAGTTTCTACAGTGTGGATATGCTAGACAAAGGCATGATTCACGACCTGGGCAGGATGACGAGAGATTTCATCATGCTGCTCAGAATGGCACGCAATTTAAAATTTATGGATTGTTTATTTCTGGAATTTTTCATTTAATATTTTTGGACCATGGATGACTGAAGATAACTGAAACCTTGGAAAGTGAAATTGCAGATAAGGGAGATTACTGTACAGGTTTACGTTGACTCAGTCTTCCTACTATGGCTTGAATGTTCGTGTCCCTTCCAAAATTCACAAAATAACATTGAAACGTTATCCCCAAGGCAACAGCATTAAGAGGTGGGGCTTTTAGGAGGTGATTAGGCCATGAGGGCTCTGCCCTTATACATGGGATTAGTGCCTTATAAAAGGGCTGGGGAAAACCAGCTAGGTCCCTTTTGCCCTTCCATCTCTTTCACAAGTTGAACCAACAAGGTGCCATCTTGGAAGCAGAAAGCAGCCCTCACTAGACACAGAATCTGCCAGCACCTCAATCTTGGACTTCCCAGCCTCCAGAACTGTGAAAAACAAATTTCTGTTGTTTATAAATTAGTCTGTGGTATTTTGTTATAGCAGCATGAACAGACTAAGACACTACCCCGGTCTGTGTATTTGGGCATAGAATTAACAATTATTTGATTCTCTCTCCTTGCCACACAGCTGCTGCCAGGGGATGGGGGCAGGGTGGTGTCGGCGATTCAACACTGTCTTTCCTTCTCTCTTCGGTGCCTCTTTCCTTGCTATGGTGTTAAACACAGGTACTGTGATCACTCACCTGACTTTCGGTTCTTATGGCGGTGCTTTCTTGGTGGATGGTGGTTCAATTTGGTGTTCCTTTGGCAAGGTTTGGGTGGGAACCAGTAGCTTTGATCAAGCTACTGCATGGAAAATCCCACAGGGATCAACTTACTTCATGTTATAGCCAGAGCAGGTTCTAGAATCTAGTGCTCAAGCAGCTTGTAGGATTTCAATTTAGAGATTAGGGAAGCTCCATCAGCTGAAGTAGGGTGAGGCTGGTTAAGGAATAGAAATAAAATGGAAGTAGTTCAGATCATTTCTCATTTAAAAAATTTTTTTATTAAAACAAATAACAATCTTCTGATTGATTGTCAAGGACGTGACGGAGTCTGAGAGGCTATATATTTTGAATTCGGGTTGTAAAGCACAGACATCCAAACCAACAGAACTCCCACACACACTTCAGGAATGCAGAGGGTTTTTGTTTGTTTTGGTTTGTTTTTTTTTTTTTTTAAGTTTTAGTAAGAACATTTTCTAAACATATACTGAATAAGGTTGTACTTGATAGTCCTGGTAATGGTAATAATGATAACTGAGAAAAAAGTGGAGAAGTAAAGGAAGCAGAAAAAATTAAGGCAATCCTGACAGCAATTCAGATAGGTAATCTACATAAATTAGTCAGTTTCCTTATCAGAGATTTACATGTTAAAACCACTTGATATAACCCAGCAGGAAATTGAACAAGTGATTCTATGTCCAGACTTGGAAACAAAAATAACCACTCAGGGTCTGCACACATTAGTTTGCTCAAACTTGCGCTGATAAGTCTTTTTGGCTAGAGCTATAGTATGCAGTTTTTAAGAGGGGAGAGTTTGGTTGGAGGATGATTGACACGGAAACAACTGCAAATCCATAATACAGGAAAGATATAAGCTTCAGCGAGTACCTGGATGTCACTGAGATGATGCAGATGCAGAGGGTGACATGCTGCACGGGACTTAGCATTGTTCGTGGTGAATCAAAAAGAAAACCCACCCCATCAGCTCTGTAAAACACATCCAATATCTTAGGCAGACTGACATCTTACATCTGATGCACTCACACAAAGATATTTCACATTCTCATTTTAAATTTGTACCCATTCCAGGGTTTCTTAGTGTTTCCCAGAGAATAAGAATGATTTTGAAATTTGTGACTTGTCACTTTGGGGACAGACACTGCCTGTCAAGCTCTTCAGGCCAAGACCCCAAGGTTCCCCCAGCAGCCCTCAGACGCCCGTCCAAACAGTCTCTCTCTGGTCTCCAAGAGTTCCCGTGCATACCACATGCATATTCTATTTATATGTTTCTTTGTCCTGAACAAGATTTGGCCCCATTGTGTGGGAGCAACACCAGAAAAGAAAAACAAAATCCATCCACCGAGAGAAAATGGAGATTGTGAGAGCTTGGAGAAATTTACATACTTTGCTCATTCCATTTTCCTGTGATGTCAGAGTCAAAGAATATGCCTTTTTTAAAAAAATCACACACACACACACACACACACACACATTTCAAAATGCTGGGACTCACAGCTCTGTCAAGTGTATTGTCATTAAAAGGAGAAATGTAAACACTCTTTTGCCTTTCCCTCCACCCCCTTCTATTCCCCCCATCAGCCCCTAAAAAAAACTAACAAATTAGCCCAGACTCCACTGGACAGAATTAAGGGCCCGTCTGCAAAAGGCCGTGGGGTATTAATGGAGATGGGGCTGAGGCTGGGGCAGGGACGATGTGGAAGTGGGAGGCCGGAATGTGATACTTGAATCTGGGTGACTGGTTCTTTATGGAGGCACAGAAAAGGGCCGGCTGACACTTTACAGATTGAGTGTAATGTTCAGGGAATTTGGCATTTCTGCCACGGGCTCTGGCTGCCCTGGTAACTGCTTTCCTTCTCCCTGCTGGTAAAAGTGCAGGAGAAAAGGGTTAAATAAATGTTTGTGATATGATAAGGTGCTTGTTTATTCAAGGAATGACAGATTATTGGCTCCAAAGGCAGCCCTGAAAAATAGTACAAAGGAACTGGCTCTCCCTTCGCGGATGATGTGATTTCCTCCTGAGATTCTGCTCTTTCCTAGGAACAATTTGCCCTGGGAATTAAGAAAGATGATTTCCCTGCCATCAGATATGAACATGGAGTTGGCGCTGAGGGCTGGAGCCCCAGAAGCTGGCTGGGAACTGGGATGGGCTTGTTTTGGGGAATGACTTTCCTGCAGGGATTTTTCTCTCACTGCCCTCAGGCTGGCCCAGCACAGAGCTCAGCTTCCAGCATCCACGTGCCCTGCTTACTACCCAGAAAGGCTGCAGGGCATCAGCGTGTTGCTACTTCTGAGAGCCTGGGAAAAGAAGTTACGTACTCAGGAGGGGGACTTCTTCCTCAGGAAATCCTGGTGCCAGGTCTGCCTCTAGCCCCAGACTGCTGTGTTCATCCCCTGACCATTCCCACATGGCATGGACACATGTGCCCAGGATGGCATGCATATCTGTCCATTTCCACACCAACACAAGCTGCACTACATGAGCTTTCTCCTGTTGTCCTCTAGTGATTTCATAGCTAGTCCTGCAGGAGAATTCAGTTCCAGATCCCCAAACAATGAGGCATTCACCTAAAGTTGGTGCACTTTTCCTCGGGGAGCAAACATCAGTGGCTGCCAACCCTGAAAATCACAGAGATCTGTACGAGGGGGCCTGTACAAGTGAGCCTAGAAGGGCTGTGACACCTTGCTGTGCACTGTGAGCTGTTCCGTTCATGCCCAGCTTCTGGATGCTGCTCTGAGGTGGCTTCCGCCTGCAGAGCAAGGGTTCTGAGCCCAGCATGCTTCAGCCACAACTCTTCCTTTCCCCTCTCCTGGCCCTGCTTCTGGCATGCCATAGAGAGGTCATTCACATACTTGCTGACTAGAAGGGTTCATACAAGATGTTTGGCATAGTTCTCATTTGAAAAGAACACATTGCCAAAATCAAACACCAAGGGAAAAATAAGTTGTTGTTTAACGGCTGTTTTTCTGGCATCCTAGGAACTACTGTATGATTTTTATAATGGCCCAGTCACTTTATCAGCTGATGTGCTGCTTATTTGTAAGTCATAAGGCATCAGCCTGGGGAACCCAGTGCCCTTCAGACACAGTGACTCAGGTTTGAGCCGACGGCAGGGACGTTATCGAAGGTCCACGGTTGGGCTATTTTTATGATTGCATTCAGTACTAATAGGGCTTTTGGAGTGTACACAGCCATGTGCTCATTGTTGAACTATACAAGATAAGATCCTTGTCCCAAGGAGCTTACTGCCTGACTTTTGCAAAAACCAGATGGCAGAAAATGGTTTCCCTCTGCCCATCAGCAATGATTGAGGGGGTGGAGATGAGAAGCGGTGCAGTCAATTCATAACTCTCCTGGGGTGGGACCTTTGCTTTGGCATTTATCCCATGTGATGTTTTAATCATGGACTATCCTTCCCCATCATCTGCTATTCCATAAGCTGCATCTCCAGGGAGCTCTGAGAATTCAAGCTTATTTGAATATCAACTTAATTAAAGCATCATTAGATCATAAAGCACCATACATAGACACACACATTATGCACATAAACATTTGCAAAAATATCATGGATTTTGAAACTAGCCATAAATGACTTTTGGACTGCCAGTGGGGACATGAGGAAGGAAATGAAAATTGTACCTACTGTGGTGGGTCATATCCGAATCATATGCTGTGATGCTGGATTATGAAGTGCCAGCCGCGATGCCCCAGCAGATCAATTGGGTCTCTGGGACAGTTTCTGCCTGGGTCTGCCTCAGCTGGGAAATGTCCAGCAGAGCACTGTGAATAGGCCCCCACAACCTGCACATCAGTGCCTCTGGCCCCAGAGGAGCTTCCCGGCACCTGGGCATGTCAGTGACCTTATTTCAGGATAGCCCCCTAAGTCTTCAAGCCATTTGCAACTGCATGGGTTTACTTGAAGGCCAAAAATCTATTTCCTATGACATGTGAACAGTCTTACCAAAGGTGCACACACTGGTTAAACCCTGGATGAGCAAGTGTATTTACTCAGCACTTGCTTTGCCTTCATCTGGGCTCTCCGAAAGCAGATTCTTAGGCTGGGATTTGAGTGGGAGCACCAGCCAGGTGGTGAGGAGGGAAGCTAATGTAGGGTGTGGTACGCTACCATGGTATAGCAGTGTAGGTTACTGCTGTGAGCAGCTGAGGCGCCATCCCACTGGGGACATCTGGGAGATGGTGTAGGATGCATCTAGAGCTCTCCCTCCCTAGTGGCAAGGAAGCCAGGACATTGAAACATGAAGTCTTCTTCACCTTTGGCTCAGGGTTAGTCCAGGGACATCAACCCCCAGGCATTGCCTGCCCTGCCCTATCTGCAGGCTCAGCAGATCCCTTAACCAAAAAAGTCCCCAGTGTGGAGACCTGCAGTTGCTGGTGGTGAGGGTCACCAGTATGGCAACGGTAGGGGCCAAGGGACCCTGATGTAGGCAGGGACCCAACAGGGTCTGCCATAGGTTTCCTTCTTTCCTTCCTTCTTTTAAGTGTAAGGAACTCCTTTGAGAGAAGTTGGAGGTATGTACACATTTTCCCAGTGAATGGAGCCAATATTGAGACATCTAGAAAAAGGGAAATGAAAGAAGAGGGGAGAAAAACACAGGATTCAGCTCAGTTTTCCTTTACTCTGGAAAGTCTCCAAGCCCCTCCTCTCACTCTCTGACCAGCGACCTGATGTAAGTGCACCCCCACTCGACACCCATAGCCCTGAATTGTAATTGTCTGTTCATGTGTCATCCTTGCAAACCAAGGCATTCTTTCACTCGTTTGTCTTTATTTCTGTACTCTCTGTACTTACTTGCTTGGCATTGACAGGTGCTTAATTAATCTCTAGAAAATGAATGAAAGGTGGCTTTATTTACATTATTCCACATTTATCTCTACCAAAATTTTAAAGATTTACTCAGGAACAGAAGTTCCAACCTAGTTCCTTTGGACCTTTGTTGGTTGAATTTTAGAGATCTTTTTGTTGTTGTCCTAAACCAGGTGCCAGATCCCTGCAGAGATTTTCCAACATCAGGATTCTTCCTATAGAGAAAAAAGACACTCCCCATGAGGAGTCTGGAGCCCAGTGAAGTGGAAAGCTGAGATGCTCAGGCTGAAAACCATCCCTGAAGGTTAGAGGTCTAGCAGAAAGCAGTAGCTCATTAAACATTCATTTTTAATTTTTGCAAAGACAAAAGTAGAAGGCCACATTATCATTTATCATTCCCTGAAGAGGAGGTAAAAGTATATGACAGAGCAAAACCTGGTCACCACTTCTGACCAAGCCTTTCCTCTTCCAGTATCTATGATTTGGGCTTAATGATGGTTTTCTTTAGTACAAGATCTCTACTCTGCTCTAGATAATCTGATGACACGGTGATGACCTTTGCCTCCATCTCTCCTTCAAGACATTCCACTTTTCTGGTACCCAGAGCTGACCCCTTCCTCGGATGGTACCTACACTGGATTTTCCTACTGGATGGCCAAGATCAGAGTTGTTCAAGGTAAGACTTTCCTGGGCTGTGACATGCCCAGGGGACCCCGCAGATCCCTGTGGGAGGCTCTGGGAATCTTTCCCATTATGGGCAAATGAGAGAACTCATTCATCCACTCCAGAGTTTTTCAACCTACGTGCTATTGGCATTTTGGATGGGAATATTCTCTGTTGTGTGGGGCTGTCCTGTGCCATGTAGGATGTTTAGCAATTTCCCTGGCCCCTACCCACCAGATAATAGCATCACCCCTTCCAAACAAAATGACTGTCTCCAGATATTGCCACATGCCCTGTGGGGTGAAAGATTACCCTTGGTTGAGACCCATTGCTCTAGCCCAAGCCTGATGACAATTAGTAAGATATTGGCTCAAAGGCTGCATTTCTGGGGTCTCTTGGAATCTCCTTGATCTTGCGGCAGGAGTCTCTAGGGTTAATACATTTACCGTCACTGCTATCTTCCGAACACCTATTATATGGCAAACATTGTTTTGGCCCTTGAGATAGAGCTGTTATGTGTAGTAAATGACCCTCTTTATTCCGATGAGGAAATGGAAGCCCAGAAAGACTCTCAGCCAAGGTATTCCAACAACACATGCCTTGCAAATGGTGGGACTAGGATTTAAATTGGGGTCTTTTGACTTCAAAGCCTGTTCTCCTTCTACTCCCGTTCTCCCCTATCTTAATATACACAGTCCATCCCCTCTGAGGAACTGGCTAGAGAAAGTAATTCAGTAGATAGTATATGTTTCCCAAAACGGCCACCTTTGTGACACCCAAGTTCTGAAATATTAGAAATAATACCTTCTAGAACACACACACTTTGAGTATTGACTCACTTACCAAAATCCCTCAAGAGTATTCTCTCTGTGCTGTGGCCCTGAGGAAAGAGGAGTGAGCAAGAATTCCTGTGCTGGAGGAGCTGTTCCGCCAATGGAACATGTGGGCCTGAGAAGCTTCATTTGCAATACATTATGGAATATGCACTATTTAGAAGAGGCCTACAAAGGCATTGGAGTATGAGGTTGTTTGATCTCACAGTATAGGGGTCCTTTGTGCCAAATATGGCCTGTTGCCTACTTTGTAAGGTACAAACCATGACCCGTGGGCCAAATCTAGCCTGCAGCCCATTTTTGTAAGGCATATGAGTTAAGGACGGTTCTTATACTTGTAAAGTTTTGTTTAAAAAACAACAACAACAAACAAAGGAGAATAGGTGACGGAAGCTATATGTGGATCACAAAGCCTAAAATATTTACGATCTGGCTCTTTGCCAAATCCACACTTAGAATGAAAGTAAGTATCTTTGCAGCAATTAGTAGGTGTGTACTTAGAAGATAGGTTAGGCACAGTGGCTCAGGCCTGCAATCCCAGCACTTTGGGAGGCTGAGGCAGGCAGATCACTCAGGAGTTAAAGACCCCGGGCAACATGGTGAAACTTCATTTCTACAAAAAAATACAAAAATTAGTCAGGCATAGTGGCACACCCCTGTGGTCCCAGCTACTCAGGAGGCTGAGGTGGGAGGGTCACTTGAACCTGGCAGGTAGACATTCCAGTGAATCACAGTCACGCCACTGCACTCCAGCCTGGGGGACAAAGCAAGAACCTATCGAAAAAAATAATAATAATTTTTTATCCTAGGTTCACACAATAAAAGCAATAAAAGGATCAGTGAGGATGGGATGAGTTGTCATTGTTTCTTCTTTGGAGGAATCCTACATTGATGATCACTTCACAAAGAGATCATGTTAAACACTACATTCTATGAGTCTTTCACTGTTCAGAGCATGGAAAATGTGTGGCATGTCATAAAAGTTAAGGCAATTCGAAGTGTTAACAAATCCAAAATTTCTAAGGCTTAAGACAAGAGAAGTTTATTTCTTGTCCAGTCACTAATTGGTTATGAGAGCAGGAGTGCTCTGCTTCACACATAACATTCAGGAACCTGGGCTGAGAAAGGCTCTTCTGTACTCAACGTGTAACTTCCCAAGTCATCCTAGATGTCAGCAACCTGCAGGAAGACATAGGAAGAGAGCGAATGGTGAGTTTTCAATGGGAGCTTTTTATGGGCCAGGCCTGGAAAGGATGTTCCTCACTTCCACTCCTATGTTATCGGCCAGAACTCAGTCTCATGGCCACACCGAACTGAAAGGGAGGCAGTGTAGCTGTGGGCCCAGGAAGAAGGGGAAATGGGTTCTGGTGAACACAAAGCAGTCTTTGCCACCAGAAGAAACCTTGGATAAAACTGGAAACTGGTTGCTTTGTAGTGACAAAGAGATTTGAGTTAGTAAGAGGAGAGCTAGCATTTGAATGTCATATTCAGAGCAGATAAAAACCCGATTGTTGGGAGGGGGGTTAAGACGGCTGACTAAAGGTTCTGGTACTCATCACTTCCACAAAGAAGAACCAAAATTGCAAGTAGATAATCACACTTTGAATAGATCATCTAAGAGATAAAACTGGAATTCAACAGAAAAGTGTCAGGAAACATCTAAGGCAAGGAAAGAGGGGCTAAAAAAAAAAAAAAAAAAAAAGGAAGGAGAAGGAAGCCAGGCAGCTTGCTCAGCTGGGATCAGCTGGGAACCAGAAGAGGCTTCTCAATGCAGGTAAAAGGTAAGTAAGTGATCCCCAACACCCAACACTCCACATTCCCACTCTGAGCTCCTGCATTCCGAGCCATGGAAGAGCCCCTCGACTCTCCCATGCCCTGAGACAAACCTAGAGAGCTGCCTGGAAACTGCACAGTGGCATTGCGCCAGAGATGGAGCTCACATTGGGCCCCCTGCACACCTCAAGTCCTAAGCAGCTTCAGCATGGTGCCATTTTGAGAGCTCAGCCACTGCCAAACTGCATCCTGCCTTGGGGCTCAACAGCCCCTTCATCTTCACATCCCTGGAGCCCCATTGACATCCCATAGGTAGCTGCCATCATTGCTGGCTGCCTCCATTGGGGTCATTGCATGACCACTCACAGTAGCGAGACTGCTACACATAGGCAAGTGCTCTACAGACAGGCTGTTCCACCCAAAGCCACCACCTGGGGCTGAAGTTCATGCATCCCAGCTGCCTGCCTGTGGCTGCTGCCACTGAAAACAACCCTGCCCTCTCCAGCAGTGGGGATGCCACACAGTCACTGCCACCCCCACCTGAACATTCCACTAGGGGCCTGGGGATCACCCCACCCCTTCCTACTACAACCAACACCTGCATGTATCACTGGGAGGCCTGAAGAGATAACTTTACTGTGTATAGTATCCTTATCTGGCAGGTTTGTTTTCAGCACTTTGAATATATCATCCCATGCTCTCCTGGCATTTAAGGTTTCTTCTGAGAAATCCACTGTTAGTCTGATGGGGGTTCACTTGTAAGTGACTAGATGCTTTTCTCTTGCTGTTTTTAGCATTTTCTGTTTGTCTTTGAATTTTCACATTTTGACTACAATATGCCATGGAGAAGATCTTTTAAAATTGCATCTGTTTAGGGATCTCTGAGCTTCCTGTATTTGGACAGCAAAAATGCAAATATTTGATTGCCAGAAAGAAAGAAAAAAACCAAAAGAATATAAAGCTTATTTAATGAAACAACAGCTGAAAACTTCCCAAGTCTACTAAGACATTTAGACATCCAAATACAAAGTTATACTTCATAAGTGAAGGGGAAATGAAGTCTTTCCCAGGTAAACAAAAGCTGAGGGAATTCACCGCCACTAGATTAATCCCACAAGAAATGCCTAAGGGAGTCCTATTCCTGGGAGTGAAAGGACGATATCTACTACCATAAAAACACACAAAAGCGTTAATATAAAACCCACTGGTAGAGCAAACACACAAGTAAGGAATAGAAAGGATGCAAATGTTATAACCACAGAAAACTACCAAGTGACAATGATAAAACGTAAGAGAGAAAGAAAGGATATACAAAACAACCAGAAATCAATTAATAAAATGATAAAAATAAACCCTGACATATCAATAATAACTTTGAATGTAAGTGAATTAAATTTTCCATTTAAAAGATATAGAATGGCTAAGTGAAATTTTTTAAATGACCTAACTATATGCTGCCTACAAAGAAACATGTCTCACCTGTAAAGACATATATAGACTGAAAGTAAAGAGATGGAAAAGTATATTCCGTGCAAATGGAAACCAAAAGAGAGCAGGAGTAGCTACCTTTATATCAGTTAAAACAGACTTTAAGGCAAAAACAGTAAAAAGAGTAAAAGAAGGTTATTATATGATAAAGGGATCAATTCAGCAAGAGGATGTAACAATTCTAAACATACATGCATGCAGCATCAGAGCACTGAGGTATACAAAGCAAATATTATTAGATCTAAAGGGAGAGATGGAATTCAATATAAAAATAGTTGAAGAGTTCAATACCACACTCTCAGTATTAGGCAAATCATTTAGACAGAAACTTTGGATTTAAACTGCACTTTAGACCAAATGGACCTGACATATATTTACAGAACATTTCATCCAATAGCTACAGAATATACATTATTCTTATCAGCACATGAAACATTCTCCAGGATAGACCATATGTTAGCACACAAGAAAAGTCTCAACAAATTTTTAAAAATTGATATCAAATTAAATATCTTCTCAGACTACAATGGAATAAAACTAGAAATTAATAACAAGAGGAACTTTGGAAACTGTACAAATACATGGAAATTAAACAACATGCTCCTGAATGACCAATGGGTCAAAGAAGAAATTGAGAGGAAAATAAAAAAGATTACTGGAACAGATGAAAATAGAAACATGACATACCAAAACCTATCAGATACAACAAACGCATTGTGAAGACAGGATTCACAGCAATAAACTCCTACATTTAAAAAGTAGAAAGATTTCAAATAAACAATTTAATGATGCACCTGAAATAACTAGAAAAGCAAGAACAAACCAAACCCAAAATTAATAGCAGGACAAAAATAATACAGATCAGAGCAGAACTAAACAAAATAGAGACTAAAATACAATATCAAAAATCAGTTAAATGAAGAGTTAGTTTTTTGAAAAGATAAACAAGATCAATAAACTCCTAACTAGATTAATCAGAAAAAAGAGAGAAGACCCAAATAAACCAAACTAGAAACAAAAAAGAAGACATTACAAGTGATACCACAGAAATACAAAAGATCATCAAACGTTGTTATAAACAACTATACACTAACAAACTGGAAAATTTAGAGGAAATGGATCTATTTCTGGACACATACAGCCTACCAAGATTGAATCAGGAAAGAATAAAAAGCCTGAACAGACCAATAATGAGTAGAAAAATTGAATCAGTAATAAAAATTCTTCCAAAAAAACAAAAGCTCAGGACCAGATAAATTCACTGCTGAATTCTACCAAACTTACAAAGAACTGATACCAATTCTCCTCAAACTGTTACAAAAAAATTAAAAAAGAAGGGATTCTCCCTATCTCAATCTATAATGCCAGCACCACCCTGATACAAAACCAGACCAGGATGTGACAAAAAAGAAAACTACAGGCCAATATCCCTGATGAACATAGAGACAAAAATCCTCAACAAATTACTAGCAAACAAAATGCAACAGCATATCAAAAAGACAATACACCATGATCAAGTGGGATTTATCCCAGGTTGCAAGGATGGCTCAACATATGCAAATCAATAAATGTGATACATTACATCAACAGATGAAGGACAAAATCCACATGATCATCTCAACAGACACAGAAAACAACATTTATTAACATCCAATATAACTTCATTAAAATCTTTCAATAAACTAGGCATAGAAGGAGCATATCTCAACATAACAGCTATATATGACAAACCCACAGCTAACATGGGGAAAAACTAAAAGATTTTCTTCTAAGAACTGAAAAGAGACAAGAACGCCTACTTTCACTACTCCTATTCAACACAATATTGGAAGTCCTAGCCAAAGAAATCAGGCAAGAAAGAAAAATACAAGGCATCCAAATTTGAAAAGAGGAAGTAAATTGTCCCTCTTTGCTGATGATACGATTTTATATCTAGAAAACCAAAAAGCTCTTAGAGGTAATAAATAAATTCAGCAAAGTTGCAGAATACAAAATCAACAAACAAAAATCAGTAGTGTTTCTATACCCCCATAATGAATTAGATGAAAAAGATATCAGGAAGGTAATTCTATCTACAATAGCTACAGAAAAAACTAACTAAAAGCCTAGGAATAAATTTAACTAGTTAAGTGAAATATTTCTACAAGGAAAACTGCAAAACACTAATGAAAGAAATTAAAGAGAACACAAACAAATAGAAAGACATCCCATGTTCTTGGGTTGGAATAATTAATATCATTAAAATGACCATACTACCCAAACACATCTACAGATTCAATGCAGTCTCTATCAAAATACCATTGTCATTTTTCACAAAAATAGAAAAAAAATCCTAAAACTTCTATGGAACCAAAAAAGAGACCAAATAGACAAAACAATCTTGAGTAAAAAGAATAAAGCTGAAGGCATCATACCACCTAACTTCAAAATATGTTACAAGACTATAGTAACCAAAACAGCATGATATTGATATCAAAACAGACACATGGACCAGCAGAAAAGAGTAAAGAACCAGAAATAAATTGATGTATTTGCAGCCAATTGACTTTCAACAAAGGCACCAAGGACATACATTGGAGAAAGGACACTCTATTCAATAAATATTGCTGGAAAAACTGGATAGCCACATGCTGAAGAATGAAACTAGATCTCTGTCTCTCACCATAGATACAAAAAAATAAACTCAAGATGAATTAGACTTAAATGTAAGACTTAAAACTATAAAACTGCTAGATGAGTACTTGGGGGAAACACTTTAAGACATCGGTCTAGGCAAAGATTTTATGGCTAAGACTTCAAAAGCACAGACAACAGAACCAAAAATAGACAAAAAGGACTATATTAAACTAAAAAGTTTCTGCACAGCAAAGGAAACAATAAACAGAGTGAAGAGACAACCTATAAAATGGGAGAAAATATTTGCAAATTATAAATCAAACAAGGGACTAATATCCAGAATATACAAGAAATGCAAACAACTCAACAGAAAATAAACAAATAAACTCATAAAAAGTGGCCAAATGACATGAATAGACATTTCTTAAAAGAAAACATTAAATAACCAACAGGTATATTTTTAAATGCTCAACATCACTAATCATTAGGGAAATGCAAATCAAACAATAATGAGATATTATCTTACTCCAGTTAGAATGGCTATTATTAAAAAGACAAAAATGAACAGTTGTTGGTGAGAAAGTAAAGAAAAGGAAATTCTTATACACTATTGGTAAATGTAAATCAGTACAGCCACTATGAAAAGCAGTATGGAAATTTCTCAAAAAACTAAAAATAGAACTACGTGATCCAGCAACCTCACTACTGGATATTTATCCAAAGGAAAGGAAATGAGTATATCAAAGGGATAGCTACACCCCATGTTTTTGGCAGCACTATTCACAACAGCAAAGTTATGGAATCAACCTAAGTGTCCATCAGTGGACAAATGGATAAAGAAAATGTGGTATATATATGCAATGGAATACTATTTGGCAATAAAAAAGAATAAAATCATGTCATTTGCAGCAACATGGATGTAACTAGAGGTCGTTATCTTAAGTGAAATAAGCCAGAAAGACAAATATTGCATATTGTCACTTATATATGGGAGCTTAAAAGGTTAATCTCATGAATGTAGACAGTAGAATGATAGCTACTGAGGTAGGAGGCAGAAATGACTCCCAAGGCAGGGCTAAGGCACCAGACCAAATTGAGGACTAGCTAAAACAGGTCTGTGGCAAAAGCAGCTTTCTGTAAGACATATACACTAGTATGTCATGTCAGTTTACCATTGCCATGGCAACACCTGGTAGTTACTGCCCCTCTCCATGGTGACAACCCAGAAATTACTATCCTCATTCTAGAAATTTCTGCATAAACTGCCCCTTAATTTGCATATATTAAAGTGGGTATAGATATGAGTGCAGAACTGCCTCTGAGCTGCCATTCTGGGCATACTGCCTCTGGGGTAGCCCTGCTTTGCAAGGAGCAGTACCTCTGCTTCTGCTGTACACTGCTGCTTCAATAAAAGTTGCTGTCTGACACCACCAGCTTGCCCTTGAATTCTTTCCTGGGCAAAGCCGAGAACCCTCCCTGGCTAAGCCCCAGTTTTGGGGGTTTGCCTATCTTGCATCAATACCAGTGACTGGGAAACCTTTGTGGGTGTGAAGGGGGGATAAGGAGAGGTTGGCTAAAGCATACCAACATACAGTTAGATAGAAGGAATAAGTTCTAATGTTTGATAACAGAGCAGGGTGACTATAGTTAACAATAATGTATATATCAAAATATCTAAAAGAGAGGACTTGAAATATTCCCAAGACATAAAAATGATAAATACTCAAGTGATGGACACCTTAAATACCTTGAGTTGATCATTACACATTCTATGCATGTAAGAAAATAACACGTGTACTCCATATATATGCACAAATATTATGTATCAGTAAAAAACTTGATTATATTCTCATACAGAATTGCCTACCTATCCGTGATGTGGAAAATGCACTGAAATTGAAGGACAAAATAAAGCCCATCAGCTCTGGAGCCAGGGATAAGTCACAGCCTCTGGACACCAAGGGCCTCATCCATCAGATAAAGAAGTTGGAGCTTCAGGGGTCTGTGAGTTCACATACAGCATCCAAGAACATGGAGGGACAGCAATAGGCCCAGAAAGAGACCCCTCACGTGACTACCACGGTCTCATCACAAGTGATTTTGATCATTGTCAGACATCCTGTGCCTTTCCACAGAATAAAGCACAGGCTGTGTTGAGAAGAACAGAGGGGAATTGGGCCTTTGATCCTCTTGTAATCTGTGTGAGAAAGATCATGGAACACCTCTGTGACATTCAACAATACTCATGCCAGGTAAGCAAAGATGAATGACGTGCATAGTTCACTTGGAGGGGAGACAGAGAGGTAAATGTATTTAATTTCACTGTGATAGGGGTTATGAAGGTGTTACGCATGGAAACTGACTGGAGGTGGCTGTGCAGAGAAGAGAGGCTCAGGAGGGTTTCCCAGAGAAGGGGACAACTGGGCTCAATTGTGACTACATTAGCTAAGTGAGGTGTGCATTGAGAGGAGGGGAAAGAAAGTCAGGGGAGGGTGCTCTAGGAAAGAGTACAGCACGAATAAAGGCTTGCAGCACAGAAGAGCTACAGGGAGTGTGGTGTTGCTGACAGATAAATCGAGAAGTGGGGAGCTGGAGAAGTAGACAAGGTCCTAAAGGGCCTCGCCACTCACATTAAAGGACTCGTGTTTTATTTAATAGGCAATGAGAAGTCAATGAATTGATGATTTTTTGGGAGAAACAGAGTACACTTTGGATAAATTATTCTCCCCTTTTATGTTAAAACAGTTCCAGAATTGTTATCTCAGGAAACACATTTTCTTACATTTTCAAACTGTAAAACTCACACATGTGCATTGTAGAAACGTTGGAAAATATACAAAGGCATAATCGATAAGAAAAAATTATACATCAACTTATCAAATGGAGACCATTACTAGCAACATTTTGGGATATATTCCTCCAGTCCTTTTTATGTTCATATTTAAAAATAGTTGAAGTTACAAGGTCTATGGTACTTTAAAAAAGTTTTTATATAAAAATAAATACTATATACATTTCCCATTTTTCTGAAAATGTAGCCAATAAGAAGCTTCCTGCCTGGTCTCCTTCCTGCTGCTCTCCCCACCCCAGTCTATTCTCAACACAGAAGCCAAAGTAATTCTACTCAAATGTTCAGAAAAGTATGAATAGCAATAAGAAAAAAAGTTAATATACACACCCACCACCCAGAGTCCCACTGTTAACATTGTGGGGTAATTTTTTCCTGGTCTTATTTTTCCTGAGAATTAAAAAAATACCTTAGGTGATATGGAATAAAGGTTTTTGTTTTTCATTGTCTTTTAGCATAAGGCCAACTTTTAACAGGAAGTCAATTATACAAACAAATATTTACAAAATATTTCCTAAAGCACATGCCAATCATACAATCATATAATCTACAGCCCCTGACCTCAGATCAAGAGAGACCACAGGAGAGCAGCAGAATTGGTCTGAATTGCTTAAATCTATTTTGAAATTGTATTTTGAATTGTATTTTACTGTTATGTATTAAGCTTGAGTTAAGAGATAGCATTTTTCATACATTTGCTGTCATATTTGCTTTAGGGATGTTATTGAGGTCTTGTCCATTACATCAGACAATGCCTCCATTAAGGGATCTCAAGAGACACATTTTTCTCATATCTTATTGCTAAAAAATGTTCTGCTTCTACTTTATCAGAGAGTGTGAGTTTTAAAAATCTTATTGGCAATGAAAACTAGGTAACTCAACTCATCTTCTTTTTATTGTCCACTAGGAAATTAGAGCATAAGTGAGAGGTTCCTTTGCCACCATGTCGCACTTTACGTCACACATATTTGTGTCCTACATTTTTATCTGGCCTTTTCTTATTCTATCCTTATTTTCTCTTTCTCCTGACTTCCTGACATATACACTCCCCCTTCATGTATGTGTATGTGTGTATCTACAGCTATATATATGTGTGTGTATAATTATGTGTATATATGCATAAGTGTGTATATATACACATATAGTTTAAGCAATACAGACCATAGCTATACATATATCTACATACACACATATGCATATATATCTATCCACATTTACAAATATAGAGAGAACATTTATATGCATATATTTCTACAGTGCTCTCTTATGGTATAGTAATTTTTATCACATTTTTGGAATGAGAAATCACCTATTGTGTAGGTGATTTGGGCAGGGAGACCAGTTAGAAACAGTGGCAATGGGACAGGCAATGCCACCCTGGGCTAGGACCACGGGTATTCATGTGGGGAGAAGGAAATGGAACCAAGAAATATTTATAAGGCAGATACATCTCAAATTAATGCTGGATTAGTTGTGATGGAAAGAAAAGTGACTTCCAGGTTTCAAGCCTAGGCTGTAGGTTTTCCAACTGGGGCAGGGAGTAGTTTGGGAGGAAATATGAGACCTCCATTTTTGGGCATGCTGATTTGAAGGAAACTGTCTAGGACAGCCAGGTGGAGATACCCAAGCTTTGCCTACCACTCCATTAGTTTCCACTGATGCTCATTCACTTCCATTATTTTTTTCTGCTTGGAGTATAGCCACCTTAGCTTCTAGCACTGACCAAACTTGAGTCATCTTTCTGGGCCCAGTTGAGGTCCTACACTTCCAAGAGGCCTTGTAGCCCACTTTTCTTCTGACCTCCAACAGCACTTGCTATCTGCATTATCTTTAGAGCAAAGACTTGAAGCCCTTTATGTTGCTATCTACTTGTTTTATCTCATAGGTGAAATTCACCTACTTATTCATTCAGTGAATATTTAGTGTAAGCATCCACACGTTCTGTGCTAGGTGATGGGCACACAGATGACTCAGACATGGTCTCGGCTCTTAAAGAGTTGACTATCCACTGGAAGAGGAGATGATGCAACATGAGCAAGTTACTCTGTGCCCTTGAAGGAACACAAGGTTCGTTCTCTTCTTTATTGTTTACTCTCATGGTGGCTTGCTCAGGCTGCATGCAGAGCCAAGCCTCAACGAACAGCATATCAATTCTATCCATTCTAGCTTCCAGACTATCCATTCTAGCTTCCAGAAGAGAAATTCCATAGCAAACCCTGGGGGATGAAATCTGATCTCTCTCTGAGCCATCCAAATTCACTTTATACACAGTGTGAGTCGTGACAGTGTATAATGCCTGTCCCTAAAATGTGGCTTTCGTCTGTGTGGCCATGTTTCTCCTGCTGTGCTCACACCCCAAAAGAGGCAAAATCTTATAAGAAGCTCCAATATAGTGGCAATGTTTTGCTTTTCTAGAGTGGACTTGATTTTTCACAGCAGTTATGAGGCATCTCAGTCATGGCAGGCAAAGACCCTTTTCACTCAGAAACATAAGGCATGAGAAGGAACTTGACAGCATTGTGGAAAGCAGTGAGCTGTCAGTCGGAAAGGATAATCAGTTACCTTCTGGGATCTGCCCTCAACTAACTGCTTTGACTTGGGTAAGCCAGTAAACTGCTCCCTGCTTTGGGGCCCTAATTCATGAAAGAAGATGGCTACAGAAATGGGATTCCAATACTGTTTATGTTCTCCTTTTGTTTTTTTTCATGTGATTTTCTTTGTAAATGTCTATAATTAGTTTTCCAGAATGACAGTTAATCTGAATGAGTTGGCTTCTGCTCCAGTTGTCAATGGGAAGACATAGAAACTATCAGTTTTAGAAGTTAGGCAATATTTGAATATGTTGTCTTAAAGACACTTTTTTCAACACATGAGAATGATTTATTGAGAAGGAGTTAAGATGTGACTGAGTTGGGTGACAACTTTGGGTTGTTGCCCCAGAGCTCAAGGGTGTGCCTGTGAGAGTCCTCAACTGGCATGATGGAGAAAGCTTTGGCTGTCAGATGGAAGACATCAGTCTTGGCCCTAGAACTTGCTACTGATGAGACTCAGGACAAGGTCTGAGACTCTCTAGACTCCAGTCTCTTTCCTTACAAAATAATGCTTGATCTAGATTCTTTTCAATCTTCTCTCCAGCTCTAGCAGTCGACTATCTCTTGTAAACTATGTATGTAAGAGTGGTTATGTGTGTGATTTGTGAGCAACACTTTGTTTAAAGTTGCAAGCTCTCTTAGTTTTCACAATAATAACAATGTCTGACAGTTTCTCATTCTGCAAACAACAGCTTCTTGGTTTGTTTAGTGCAACACAGAATTGTGAAAAGCTCACAGGCTTTGAAAGCAGAGATACCCAGGCCCAAGTCTACCACTGACTGTCACGTCTTAACTGTGTGGTTCTTAGCATGTCACTTTTAATGTCAAAGTCTTATTTACCTCCTCCATAAATTGGACATTCTCATATCATGGGTGTGTGTTCTTTTTTGTTGTGATAAGTGATTGGCACAGGTTTGTCACATGGTGACATGTTTAATAAGTAGTAGGTTTTATAATGTTTTCAGGCTTAATAAAGGCATTTGGTTTATTAATCAAAGATTAATGAACAATGCTGTCACTTTTTGGTTTATTCTACAACAAAAATAAGCTAACAACTTTTCTTTCTTTCTTTCTCTTCTTTCTCTTTCTTTTTTTTTTTTTTTTTTTTTTTGTTAAGCAGGGTCTCACTCTGTCACCCAGGCTAGACTGCAGTGGTGCAATCCTAGCTCATTGCAACCTTGAACTCCTACGGTCAAATGAGCCTCCCACCTCAGCCTTCTGAGTAGCTAGGACTACAAGTGTGTACTACTATGCCAGGCTAATTTAAAAAAAATTGTAGAGATGACATCTTGCTATATTGCCCAGGCTGGTCTAAAACTCATGGCCTGAAGGGATCCTCTCACCTCAGCCTCCCCAAATGTGGGGATTACAGGCATGAGCCACCATCCCCAGTGAGTAACAACTTCTTGGTGTTGGAGAAAAACAAATACACAAACTCTGTGGGCTCACTTTCTTCATTTATAAAATTAAGGATGCCCCAGATGATTCCTAAGGCCTCTCTATAATTTTTTGTCTGGCTCATAAACTGGATCTGGATATAATTCCAAAGTAATTCAAGTAAATACATTCCAGAATGGGGTTTTAAGTAATAACAGCATCATTGCAATAAATTTAAGCATGATTACTTTAGAGGACAATACTCTTTTAGATGTGTGATTCAAGTCAGGTTATTTTAATATTAATAATATGTATTTAATGCCTACCTTGCTACAGTCCAGCAAGTGTTTTTGTTACATTTTGTAGCCACACCTTAGACCTGTGGGAAGAACAGGAAAGAACAGCAGGAAGAGATGGAGACAATATGAGGTAGAAGGTCAGGATAAAAGCAAGGTGACCTGGCAAGGCTGGCTCTGTCTTCCCCCTGGTTGGACAATGACTTGCTTGCATTGTGTGCCTTACTTTACTCAATAAATATATTCCTGAAAGTAGCTTCAAAACATTTGCAGATTGAATCATGTTTTCGGTGTAACACAGGCATGTTCTATTGAAACCACTCCCATGGTAAAACTTTTTGTAAAAAGAGACATTATTCTCTAATTCTAAATCTACATTGGATTTTCTTAAAGGAAAGTTCAACTGTAATTATTTTCCTGGAGAGGAAAAGTGATGTCAAGCCACCCTGATGAGAGCCTGGTGTGGGAACAGCTTGTCTGGCCTCTTGGGATCTCTGGGGAAAGTAGACGGAGATGAGGAATAGACACGTATTCCAGAACTGGACTTCGAATGGGCCTTTGGCCAAACTTGGCCCAATTTCTCAACAGAGAGAAAGCACTGACCCAAGCTGAAGACTGATTCACAGCCAACCTGCTTTGGACACGTTGTCCTCTGCCAGGCAAGCCAGCGCCCTATCCCTGAGGCACTTGCTGGCCAGGGGAAGGAAATGCTGGGAGAGGAAGCCTTGCTCTTTCCCCCTTTGCTGCATAGTTCCAGCTTTTGTGCAGCTCTCATGTTTGGGGATAGGGGAGGAAGGGAGAAGACTGGGAAGTGGGAGGAGGGGGACAAGGCCACCCATGAAGATGCAGGGAAAGCCAGCAAAGGCCAGGAGGGAGTCATTGCAGAAGAAGAGAATAATGTGAATGAACTTGGGGACAAAGGGGAAATAAGGAAGGGGTTCAGGGAAACCTCACAAACTAGATGGAAAAGAAAGAGGAAGGGGAAATTCCCAGGATAGAAAGTAAACCAGGAAGAGACGAAGAGGAGGGCTTCTCCAGGTGTGACCCACACCCCAAATTCAAACATTCTTGATTTAGAAAAATGTCCTGTGATTCATTCTCCAATGGGAAGTCCACTGTGTAGAAATTTTCTTTAACAATTTCTTCTTGACATGCTCCTGGAATTATAAGGAATTTGGGCATGAGAGCTCCTTTTCCAAAAAGATTCATGAGAGGACTTCTTCCTCGGTGCTGACTGCATTTGGAAGAGCAGTTGAATTAGGAATGGCTTGCAAAAATGTTAGTAGGGATGGAAGAGAGTGTTGGAGACGAGGAGTGATTAATATTCAAAATTCAGGTTTGTGTTCAATTTTGAAGTCACTGTTTTAGTTTTGATATCAATGTAAGGAGTGTAAGACCTGTGTAAATGGGATATCAGGTTAAAAAATCCAGCCTGCTCCATCCTGAGGAGAGCACAAATACATGGGACTCACAGATAATTCAAATGTTGACTTCACTACTCCAGCTGTCAAAGCAGTTCTGAGCGAGAACAAGACTGTTTGTAGGAACTCTAGTTCTTTTGCATTACCTGTCTTCCTGGAGGTAGAATCATCAGGAAGAAGAAACCAAGAGGAGCAGAATCAGATGGGTGAAGTAACCCGTGCATTATGTAAACAATCTTTGGCCCATAACCTAGGGTGAGCCAACATATTAATATTTAACTACTAACTCACAGGATCAACCAATCAGATTTGGCCCTGGACATAGCCCCAATCAGCCCTGGAGATAACATTCCCATGGCAACACTAATGCATTCTTCACTGAATGGTTGGCAACACTAATGCACTTACTCATTTAAGATTCTTTGTTTAATGTATGTCTTCCCCTCCAGACTGTAAGCCTATTGAAGGGTTTCCCTAGCATGTTGTGGGTGCTCAATAAATAACTATTGTCTGACGGCAAATACCACACCCCTGAGCCATATGGAAGACATCTCCCCTCATGGTGTTGTGGCTAATTCAGAAGTGGCATAGAGTCATGAAAAAGTGCTTCACATCAGGACAGCAGCTCAGCTCCTGACCTGGTTCTGCTTTTCTCTCACTGTGTGACTTTGGACAAGTCATCTCCTCTCCCTCTACCTCTGACTCCTTTGCTATGAAATGACAGGATTGGATTTGATGATCTCTGAGGCCGATTTCAGCTCTAATACTCAGTGGTTCAGCACACCCATAAAGTGCACAGCAGAGGTTTGTTTGTGACCAAAACAGAATGTTAGGAACTGAAAAAACTGCCAAAGACCACTTTAGAGGAAAAGTGGAAACAAGGTTTTGTGTGAAATATGCTTGGCTTGCACAATGCAAGTGATTCTTTTGTGAGAGCGGAAGGCCATAGGGTGTGATTACTTTATCTGCCACTAAGCTTCCTGGGCAGCCCAGGCCAAGCTAAAGATACCTATCACTCTTGTTCAAGGTCCGTTTCCTACTGAGTTGTCACACTGTTGAATTATTGTTGAGTTGAAGTCCAAAAGGGGAAATATTTTGCAATCTAGAGTTGGACCCTGGAGCTATACAACTATGATTACTGATACAGATTTTCCCAGAAAATCTCAGTGCACCGAGGTCATACCAAGGAGCCCTCATACTTCTGTATGCTACTGTCAGCTTACTCTGCTGGTGGTGCTGAAGTTCCGTGAACATTTTCCCCAATGAGCAAGTAAAAACATTTCATTTTGCCTCTTCCTGAACCATTTTTTTAAAAGTTTTTATATGGAATAAATCTTTACATTAAAAAAGATACACAATAGCATTTACTTTTAAAAATAAAATTTAAAATATGATGTGTATATTTAAGGTATACAACATTATGTTATGGGATACATATAGATAGTAAAAAGGTTACTATAATAAAACAAATATATTCAGCATCTCACAGAGTTATCCCCATTGCCCTGCCCCTTTGTTTGGTAAGAGCAGCTAAAATCTACTCATTTAACAGGACTCCTAAATGCATAAAATTTTATTAATTACAGTCCTCCTGTACATTAGAGCTCTAGGCTTATTCATTCTAATATATGCTACTTGATAACCTCTGACCTACATCTTCCCATTTGTTCCCCTTTTCCCTAACCCCTGGTAACTACTGTTTTATTCTCTGTGTTTGTATATTTGACTTTAATTTTGGTTTAGATTCTACATACAAGTGATATCATAAAATGTTTTTCTTTCTATGCCTGGCTTACTTCATCTAGTGTAATATCCTCCAGTTCCATCCAAGTTGTGGCAAATGGCAGGATTTCCTTTTTTAAGGCTGAATAACATTCTATTGGATGGATAGCTAGATGATGATAGATAGATAGATAGATAGATAGATAGATAGATAGATAGATAAAGAGTGTCCTGTGTACTGAGTCAGAGGACACATATATCTGTTTCTTTATCCATTTGTCCATTGATGGACACTTAGGTTGTTCCCATATCTTGACTATTGTGAATAATGCTGCAACAAACATGGGTGTGCAGATATCTTTATGAGGTGGTGATTTCATCTCCTTGGGTATATAATCAGAAGAGGGATTACTATGTTAAATGGTCATTCTATTTTTAATCAATTTTTTTGAGACAGGGTTTCACTTCATTGCTCAGGCTGGAGTGCAGTGGCATGATCATGGCTACTGTAGCCTCAACCTCCCATGCTCAAGTCATCCTCCCACCTCAGCCTCCCAAGTAGCTAAGACTACAGACATGTGCCACCATGCTGGGCTAATTTTTTAGTTTTTTGTAGAGATGTGAACTCACCATGTGGCTTAGGTTTTTCTTAATTTGTCTAGGAACCTCCATATTGTTTTCCATAATGCTTGCGCCAATCTACATTTCCACCAACAATGTACAATTTTTCCCTTTTCTCCACACCCTTGCTGACATTTTTTATCTCTTGACTTTTATGATTATCATCCTAATGGACATGAGGTGAAATAAGCTTTTAAAAAAACCTTTTTTTATGTAGCTCTGTTTAAAAAGCACTTTAGGAAGAAGGACATATTTGTCTGCACAAAAAGAGTATCCTGTGTACTGAGTCAAAGGATGACAAGCCCATAGCTCCTTGAATCTTAACACAGATGCTACTATGACTATTAGCTTTTAAACTCCTGCCATCCTCAGAGAGCCTATGATAGTGATGAAGAAAGAATTATATAACATGACGGGTTCAAAGATCCCAGGACAGGTATCAAAACCCCAGCTTCCAAACCAGTTGCGTGTATTCCTCTGAGCAAATCCCGGCCTCTCTGAGCCACTGTTGACTCCCATGTGAACCGTTCATCCAGGTGCCCAGAAGCTCTGCGTTCTGTGGAGCCTTAGAAGTCCAGGTGGGAGGCAGGTGGAAAGAGAGAAGGACCAAGAGACAGACGGGGGTTCCGTGTCCCTGGAGCCAGAGCTCTACTTTTGTCTTTTATACGTGTCCGAGGTCTGCTAAAATGTCACTGAAGAAAAGATTATGCTGTCTATAAAGAGTTTGAAAGCACAGGATTAGATGACCCCTAAAGACACTCTTAGTTCTTTAAAAAAAAAAAAAAAAGTCCTCTGGGTTCATGTTCACATAAACTCACAAGCTTAGGTACACACACACAAACACACACTCTCATGCTTACACACACCCTCCACTATAAAAACAAACAAGATTGATTAACATTTCATGAATCGTGCTGAAAAGTTAATTCAGATGTCCTTCTCTCTGAATGCTCTGCTGTCCTCTGCAGGTCCCCAGGTCCTGCTGGGAGTTGGGGAAGCACTGCATGTGACCAAGTCTTCAGCTGAAAATCAAATCAGTTAGAGCTAAGTGAAGCTTAGAGCTCATCTGTCCCCTGCTTAACTGTATATATGATGAATGCAAGGCCTGGAAAGGGGAGTGACTTACCCAAGGTTATATAACTAGCTGGTGGCAGAGCCACCATTAGGGGTCACTTCTCCGAATCCCAGCCCAGTGTCCTTCCCACCATACTATGCTCTTGAAAAATGATGGAACTACATGGAATGACTGAATATTCTGTATTGATAGACTCTAAAATAAAAATATTTCCCACCCATCTCTGTGGTATGGGTAGATCTTTAGAGCTATTAAGACCCTCCCCTACCAAAAAAATACCATACACACACACACATACACACACACACACACACACACACATACACACACACAGGCACTTTGCCAAGGGGATAAGGGGTAATGAAAAACCCTTGGCAAGTGGATACTTCAAAGCTTTAGAGAGTTTATCTGAAGAAGACTTTGAATAGAGTGCAATGTTTTATGAGTTTTCCTAATCCCTCAGTAAATGTGCCTTGCTGAATAAGCAGAAACATTTTTAATGACTGTTAAAGAGTTATAGACACAGGCCTGTGACTGGGTATTAGAGTAGGGTTTCCTAGGACCTTTAGTCTCCTGCACTCCAGGACTGGAAGTAGAATTTATATCTGTGCCACTGGTTCTGAGCTAATAAATTTAGAGCCCAAGGCTCTTTCTTCTGAAGGTTGGTGGCCACTTACTGTTTACTCAGTGCTAGCAACTGCTACTTCTACCACCACTAATTATCTCTACCTCTATTGCCACCACTAAAAATGTCCTTTTAGCTCATTTTAGCCTCACAATATCCCAGAGAGGTGTGTCATATGAGTTTAGAATCCCTTCTTCAGGTAGGAAGAGAATAGTGTGCCAGCAATTGAGATGGGCTCAGTACACTTTGTTGAGCTTGAGCCAGGAAAGGGGACTGAGTTTCAGGAAGTCCAGGGGAGCCAGGTCATAGTGTAAGAGATGAGAGGCCTAGAGAAAGAAAAGGCCAACTGCCCTCATGGTTGAAAGTCCTGAGAAGAAGACTGAGGTCAGGACACACGCTAGACAGCTACGGGGCTGTCAGGGCATCAAAGCCAGGAAGACAGATGCTGCCTTGGAGCTGGAGGCTCTCCCAGCTCTGCTCTGCACTATCCCTGCCTCTCCTGCTTCTGGGGCCTCTGGGTAATTCCATTTCAGGCAGCAGCTTCAGTTGGGTTGGAATTTTAAGAATTTGTCCAGTAATTTGCAGCTTACTATCCGGGGGTGGAATGAGTAAAATGGGGCATTTTCAGGGCAGATTTTAGAGTCGAGGCTATAAACCCAAGAGCTGTGGCTTCCTGGGGTCTCTTTCAGGACTCACACTGCATCCCTTAAACTTACCCTCTCTTTTGCAGTAGCCCCAAGTGGAGGGGTTCATTTCATCTCCTAGGTCTTACACCCCTCTTGATAATTAAAACTCATTTTTAGGAGATGGGAGATTTAATTGTTACTTTAACACTGTGTAGATTTGTGTGACATAAAGGCAAGTCTAGCATGGCTTAACAAAACCCGCCAAAAAACCAGGATAAGAAAAGGCACTGAACACACAGAGTGAAGTGAACCCAAATTGCTATGGTCTCTACCTTCTGCATCAAGGAAGACAAAACAGGAATTGGGAAGAGTCAAGGTCAGGATGGGCATGGACTCTCCCAAGGATAAATATGTCAAGAAGAGTTGAATGACAAAATCAAAATTCAGAAAAGGGAAAAACACATTTTTCAAAATAACAAGTTTCCAAAGCTATTCATGTAGGATATCTGATTTTTTTTTGAGTGGACATTTAAAACAAAAATCAGAAAAATGACAACATATTTCTACCCAGACTAAAAATGTTCTCGTGTCGTTTCAGACTTCTTCCATCCTCAGGACTGGTAAATCTTTGTACCCTAAAATGGGTTGGAAGGAAAAAAGCAATGACTCATATCCCATGCTGAAAGCTTGATGATTTTCAAGACAAGAAAAGGCTGTGGGAAGGCTCAGAGCCCAGGAACAAAAGGCAGACAAATATTTTGGGAGTGAGAGGAGAAGCAGGGACTGCTGGAGGGAAAAGAGAAAAGAGAGTATTAAGAAGAAGAGAAGGGAATCCACATAGAACACTTTTTATTAGTCAAGGAGGATTTTCACAAAGATTCCCTTAAAGACAAGTAAGGCCCTACACTTGCAAATAAGACAAGAATAATGAGCTAATCTGAGAGACTACATTCAACTTTCCACCCCTCAGTACAACTCTGTAAAGTCTAACATTTAAGAAAACTTCTTAAAAGTTCTGAATATGTGTCTCCTAGAACCAATCACCCATATTATGATGACTAAGTTACGCCTAAGATATTTTAAGTATGGATCTTGGAGACACCCTGGAAAGGTATCTGTTTTGTCAAGAGAAGAATCCAGAGGGTTTTCGTAGAAGTGCTTTAGTGAAGTAAACACATTGAGAATATGCTCCAAGGTCACCTACTTGTTCTGCAGAGTTATTTAGCTCTACTGGGGGCTTCAAGGTGGAAACATTGATATTACATCAATTGTATTAGGTAGACATCGTTCTGTGACAAATTTTAAAATGTGACCCAACTCTATGCTGTGTACAAGAAACTCATTTTAAATATAATGACATAGGCAGGTTAAAAGTAAAAGAATGGAATAAGATGTATTATGCAAACACTAATCAAAGGAAAGCAAAAGTGGCTATGTATTTTTTCCTCTCTTCTTTCTTTTTAATTTTACTTTAAGTTCTGGGATACATGTGCAGAACATACAGGTTTGTTACATAGGTATACATGTGCCATAGTGGTTTGCTGCACCCATCAACCCATCATCTATGTTTTCAGCCCCGCATGCATTAGGTATTTGTCCTAATGGTCTCCCTCCCCTTGACCCCCACCCCTTGACAAGCCCTGGTGTGTGATGTTCCCCTCCCTGTGTCCATGTGTTCTCATTGTTCAACTCCCACTTATGAGTGAGATCATGCAGTGTTTGGTTTTCTGTTCCTGTGTTAGTTTGCTGAGAATGATGGCTCCCAGTTTCATCCATCCTGCAAAGGACATGGACTCATTCTTTTTTATGGCTGCATAGTATTCCATGATGTATATGTGAAAAGTGTCTATATTAATATCACATAAAATAAACTTCAGAACAAAGAAAATTATCATAGATATAGAGGGACATTATATAATGAAAAAAGGGCCAATCCACAAAGAAGACATAGCAATCTAGAATGTGTGTGCACTAAACAAAAGAGCCACAAAAATAGATGAAGCAAAACCCAAAAGAACAGAAAGAGGAAATAAGCAAATCCACAATTATAAATGAAGACTTGACTACCTCTCTTAACAATTGATAGAACAACTAGACAGAAAATCAGCAAGGATATAGAAGAAGTCAACACCATAACAAATAGGATCTAATTGATATTTATAGATTACCACCAAACAGCAGAAGAATACACATTCTTTTCAAGTCCCTACCTAACAATATCAAGATAGACCACATTTTAGGCATAAAACAAAACCCAACACATTTAAAAGAGTTGAAATTATTAAGAGTGTGTTCTCTGATTACAATGGAATTGAGCTAGAAATTAAAAACAGAAGCGTAACAGGAAAATCTCCAACACTTGGGAATTAAACAACCCACTTATAAATAATCCATGGGTCAAAGAGAAAGTTGCAAAGAAACTTTAAAAATACATTCAACTGAATAAAAATGAAAATATAATGTGGCAAAATGTGTGGAGCACGGCTAAAACAGTGATGAGAGTAAACTTTATAGCACTAAATACATATATTAGAAAAGAAGAAAGGTCCCAAATTAATCATCTATGCCCCTGTCTCAAAACCTAGAAAAATAAGAGGAAATAAACTCAAAGCAAGCAGAAGGAAGAACATAATAAAGATATAAGCAGAAATCTATGAAATCAGAAAAAAGATAGAGAAAATCAACAAAGCCAAAGCCTGGTTCTTTGAAAAGATTAATATAATTGACAAATCTCTAACATGATTGAGAAAGAAAAAAGATTAAAATACAAATTACCAATATCAAGAGTGAAACAAAGGATATCAATATAGGCCCTGCAGACATCAAAGATTAATAATGGATATTACAAACAATTCTACACACATAAATTTAACAACTTAGACAAAATGGACCACTTTCTCAAAGAACACAAACTACCAATGCACCCAGTATGGAACATACATAATTTGAATAGAACTACAACTACTAAGAAATTGAATTCATAATTTATAAACCTCCAAGAAATAATCTCCATCTCCAGATGGTTTCACTGGAAAATTTTACTAAATGTTTAAAGTAGAATGAACACCAATTATGCACAATCTTTTCTATAAAATAGAAGACAAAAGAATACTTTCAATTCATTCTATATAGATACAATTACCCTGAATTTTTTAAAAGTAAGTTTAAAGAAAGAAAGAAAGAAAAAGAAAATTACAGACCAATATCCCTCAAGAATATAGTTGCAAAAATCTACTTCAATAGAATTCAGCAATATATAAAACATCATACATACACACACATTTATAATTATAAACCATGAGCAAATGGAGTTTACGCTGGGATGCACAAATAATTTAGCATTTGAACATCAAAATCTGTCAGTGTAAATCACTATGTTAACAGGCTAAATTAAAACCAGCATGATAATGTCAATCTTGCAGAAAAAGCATTTGACAAAGTTCAGTGTTCATTTATCATAAAAACACTAAAACCCTACTTATCATAAAAACATAGCCACTTGTTCAATCTCATAAAGAGCTTCTACAAAAAGACCTACAGCTAACATTATACTAATGTTGAAAGACTAAATTTTCCCCTAAAATTGGAAATAAGGCAAGCATATCCACTCTCATCACTCTTATTCAACACGTTGCTGGAAGTTGTAGCCAGTGCAATAAGGCAAGAAGAAGAAATAAAAAGCATGTAGATTGGAAAGGAAGAAATATAAGTATCTCTGTTTGCAGATGACATTATTGTCTAAGTGGAAAATCCCAAGGAACCTACCATCTATTAGGACCTCTTGGACCTAATAAGTGAACTCAGCAAATTCACAGGATACAAGATAAACATACAAAATTCAATTGTATTTTGATATACTATCAATGAGCACATGGACAGTAAAATTAAAATACAATGCCATTTATGATTCCTCCAAATAAAATATTTAGGTATAAATCTAATGAAACATCTACAGGACTTATATACTGAAACTACACAATGCCGATGAAAGAAATCAAATATCTAAATAAATGAAGGGGCAGGATGTCAATTTTCTTTAAATTGATATATAGGTTTAATGCACTTCATATCAAAATCCCAGCAAGACTTTTTATAGAAATAGACAAGAGTACTTGAATATTTACATAGAAAAGCCTATAATCTATTTCAAGAGTTATTATATAGTCATAGCAATCAGGACTGCATGGTATCTTTGAAGAGATAATGACATATATCAATGGAACAAAACAGAGAACCCCAAGATAGACCCCTGCGAATATGCCCAAGTGATTTTTTCAGAAAAGTGCAGAAGCAATTCAATGGAGGAAAGATTTTTATTCAACAAATGGCACTGGAGCCATTGGATATCCACAAGCAAAAAGAAATAAATGAACCTCTGCTGGGCGCAATGGCTATACCTGTAATCCCAGCATTTTGGGAGGCCAAATCAGATGAATTACTTGAGGCCAGGAGTTTGAGACCAGCCTGGTCAACATGGCAAAACCACGTCTCTACTAAAAATACAAAAATTAGCCAGGCTAATTTAAAAATTACAGGTGGTGCACACCTGTAATCCCAGCTACTCTGAAGGCTGAGGCACAAGAATCTCTTGAATCTGGGAGGCGGATGTTACAGTGAGCTAATATCGCACCATTGCACTCCAGCTGGCCCACAGAGCAAGACTCTGTCTCAAAATAAAAATAAATACCTTCATCTCATGTAGTAATTCATACAAAGTAGATCACAGATTTAAATCAAAACATAAATCTATAAAATTCAGGAAGAAAAAACAAAAGAAAAATTCTAAGCAGAGTGCTTACACTTAACACCACACACATGATCCATACAAGGAAAAATTGATAAACTGAATCTCATCAAAATTAAACGGTTGCTCTGCAAGCTATGGACCGGAGAAAATATTTGCAAACCACATAAATGACAAAGGGCTAGTATCTAGAAAATACAAAAGATTCTCAAACACAGCAATTAAAAAAATCAAACAATCCAATTGGAAAACGGGATAAAAGATAGGAAGAGACACTACACCAGAGAGTGTACACAGATGGCAAATAAGAATATGAAAAAGATGTCCAAAATCATTAGCTATTAGGGACGCAAATTAAAACCATAATGAGGTGCCACTACCCACCTATCAGAAAAACAAACATTTAAAAATAGTGAAACATTAAATGCTGGTAAGAATGCAGAGAATGGAGATCTCTCATGCTTTCCTGGCAGGAATATAAAATGGTACAGTCACTCTGGAAAATAGTTTGGTAGTTTCTTTAAAAACTAAACATGTAACCTAGCAGTTGTACTCCTGAGCATTTATCCCAGAGAAACAAAGACTTATGTTTACACAAAAACCTGTTGATAGCAGCTTTATTTGTATTAGCCAAAAACTGGAAACAACCCAGATATTTGTCAATGGATGAATGGTTAAACAAACTGTGGTACATTCATACCATGGAAGTGTCTCAGTAATAAAAGGAACAAGCTATTGATATATGCAACAATCTGGACAAATCTCTAGAGAATGATGCTAAGTGAGAAAAGCCAATCCCTAAAGATTACATACATTATTATTTCACTTATACAACATTCTTTAAATGACAAAATTATAGAAACAGAGAACAGATTAGAGGTTTCCAGGGGTTAAGGAGTGGACGGGTACAGAAGACAAGTTAATATGGGCAATCAGAGGGAGGCTTATGGTGATGTTCTATAACTCGACTACATCAACATCAATGTCTTGGTTGTGATACTATGCTATAGCTTTGCAAGAAGTTACCATTGGAAATGGTACATGAGCTCTCTCTGTATTATTTCTTTCAGCTATATATGAATTAACAATTATCTCATAATAAAAAGTTAAATTTAAAAAAAATATTTCAACTTATGATAGCTCCAAAATGCAAAGAATAAATGTAATGAAAGACAGGAAAGACTTCCACACTGAAAATTACCAAACGTTGCTTAGTGGAATTAAAGAAAGCCTAAATAAATGGAGAAATATACCATGCTCATGGGTAGAAAAATGTAATATCGTTAAAATATCAATTTTTCTGAAATTGATTCATAAATTCAGTGCAATCCCAATCAAAATACAAGCTGATTCTAAAATGCATAGAAAAAGGCAAAGAAACAGAATAGCCAAAGCAATTTTGAAGAAGAACATTTGAGAATTTCAAGTCTCACTGTAAATCTACTATAATCAAGATAATGTGGCATTAGTGTAAGAATAGCTATATAGGCCAGGTGTGGTGGCTCACGCCTGTAATCCCAGCACTTTGGGAGGCCGAGGCAGGTGGATCACAAGGTCAGGAGATCGAGACCATCCTGGCTAGGAGGGTGAAACCCCATCTCCACTAAAAATACAAAAAAAAAAAAAAAAAAAAATTAGCCGGGCATGGTGGCAGGTGCCTGTGGTCCCAGCTGCTCAGGAGGCTGAGGCTGGAGAATGGCATGAACCTGGGAGGCAGAGCTTGCAGTGAGCTGAGATCCTGCCACTGCACTCCAGCCTGGGTGACAGAGTGAGACTCCATCTCAAAAAAAAAAAGAAGAAGAATAGCCATATGGATTAATGGAACATAGCAAATCCAGAAATGGGCACACACATATATGGTCAATTGACTTTTGAAAAATGTGACTACATAATTCAATGAGAAGAAAGAGTATTTTAAACAAATTGTGTTGGAAGAACTGGATATCAAATGGGAGGAAATGTCTCCAATTCCTACCTCACACAATAAGCAAAAATGACCTAAAATGGATTATAAAATCTGAAAATAAAGTTAAAATTATAAAACTTCTATAAGAAAACATAGGAAAAAATCTTGGCAACCATGGATTAAGCAAAATATTTCTTAGGACACAAATAGCACAAACCAACATGGAAAAAATGATAAACTGTATTTCAAAAAGTAAAAAACTTTCTCTTCAAAAGATGCTATTATGAAAATGAAAAAGGCAATACACAGTCTGGGGTAAAATAATTGCAATGCATGTATTTGACAAAGATATGCATCCAGAGTATATAAATAGCTCTTATAAATCATTAGTAAGAGGACACAAAACCAATTTAAAAATGAGCAAAGGGTTTGAACAGATGCTTCTCAAAGGAAATTATACAAAAGACCAATGAGCAAACGATCAGTTGCCCAATATGATAAATCATCAGAGATATGCAAATTAAAATGATGATAACATACCACTATACACCCACTAGAATGACTAAAATTAAGAACAAACAAAAAAAAAACCAGACAACTCCAAGTGTTGACAAGGAGGGCTGCTAAATTGCTGGTCAAAATGTAAAATGTCATTACTATTTTGAAAACAGCTTGACCACTACTTAAAAAGTTAAACATATACTTACCATGGGACTTAACAATCTAATCAAATGTACTTACCCAAGAGAAAGAAAAATATCTGTTTATACAAAGACTTGCACATGAGTATTCATAGCAACTAACTCATAATAGCTATAAATTGGAAACGACCCCCAAAACCAATAAGAGATGAATGGATAAACAAATTGTGCTATATCCATACAATGGAATACTACTTAGCAATGAAAAGAAACAAATTGTTGATAGATGGCACACTATGGATGAATCTAAAAAAATATACCAAGTGAAGAAGCTAGACAAAAACTACATAGCGTATGATTCCATCTAGAAAGGCTAAACTAACTCATAGTGACAGAAAAGGAGGCCTGGTGTGGGTGTCAGGAAGATGGGTTGGCAAAGGCCTCAGATCAACTACTGCCCACAGTCAGAGGTGAAAGAGTTGACTGTAAGGTGAAACAGGAAGACTTTCAGGGGTGATCTAAATGTTATATATCTAGATTGTGGTGGTGACATGGGTACATAAATTTGTCAAAACTTATTGAATTGCATACTTAAAATGAATGCATCTGATTGTATTACATCATTGTATGTAAATGATCCTGGACCCCTATCTCACACCAAACACAAAAATTAATTTGAAATAGATCATAGATCTAGATGTAAATTCAACCTATCAAACTTCTGGGAAAAAAAATAAACCAAGAGAATAATCTTTATGAGTTTTGTCAGCAGATTTTTTGGGGACATAAAAATCACTAAAAAGAGGGGGGGATCAATTAATTTAAGTCTCCCCAAAAAATCTTTCTCTTCTTAAATCAGTAGTTATAATCCTAGCAGCACATTTAAGTCATCTGGAGCATGTACAAATAAAAGCACAATACCCATCCCAGACTAACTGAATCACAATATCTTCTTGAGAAACATTGACTTAAAGTTTGGACTCCATTGATTTTCAAAGCAACAAATGTGCCTCACAGAGAGGTTATGTAGCCTTACATCTCTAACATATGAAATATTTTTTGTTTGCATATGAATACATAAATGGAGAAAGTAAGTTATATACACGTATTAATTTATTCAATTTGATTATTATGTATCAGGGACTATGTTGGATGCTTAGTTACAAAAAGACTGAGACACAATCCTTGGCCACAATTATAGGAAGAGTCAGAGTTCTAGGTGGGATAAAAGTTGTGCAAATATATGACGTGCATACACAAAGAGATAGATTTCATCTTGTGTGGGTGTCAGGAAGAGGAGTTGGCAAAGGCCTTAGAGAAGAAGAAGGGATTTCCATTAAGCCAAGTCTCAAAAGATGATTATGATGTGATCTGGTTGTCCTGGACAACTTGACTAACCACACCTCCGCAACCCCGCAGGCAACACACACACATTTTTGTGCACATACCGGCAACATATATATTTTTCAAAATCCTAAGTATCCATGCCTGCCTTATAGTTAACGTTTCGAAGATTCTTTCTCTACCCATTGTCCTGGATTAATATCAAAAGAGAACGAAGAAAGAAGCTTAAGGGAGAAAATCCACTGCATCTTCAGATTGTTTCCTTCTTTCTGATCTCAGGAGGTCCAGGGAGGTAGGAAGAACCTTTTCACCTGTTTCCTCATATTGTTCCTCTATTGTCCTCTCCAGCTGGTAAGCCCCAACATCGTGTATCTTAAAAAGCTAATGAGGCCAGGACAGAATTGCCATTTAAATTCTTTAGTAACATTTCCTCTTACAGTCTGAGCTCTTATCCTCTGACTTGTTTCCTTAAGTTTCTATCAAGCTCCTCAGTCAGGTTAGTTGGAATATTCCCATGCTTCTTCCTTTTTCTGTTAGAGAATAAGGTCTATTATATAACTCCTTCATCTCCTTAGAAATACAGATAGCCTATCAGCAGTTTTGGAAAAACATCCCAACTGATTTTAGGGCATTGAGGCGTTTGATGGGAGGAAGCTATCTATACAAAGAGTGAATGCTGTACAAACAGCAAACTTTACAGGGAAAAAGTTGATATTTATAGATACTCATTTATACCCCAGGGCAAGACAGACAGATAGATAGATAGATAGATAGATAGATAGATAGATAGATAGATAGCAATATATTGATATCTGTTTATCCATTGAGTCAAACAAATAAACACACATAGATTACAAAGGTCCTTTTCTCTTCCCATGCCTGAAGAGAAAGGAGGCCTGTGGTTTCTTTCCATAGATATGCATCACTCCTGAAAAGCACACTCACATCTTGTTTATATATTACAGCCTTCCGCTACTTCACCAAATGTCTCCTGGCCTTTGCTCAGTGAGCCAGTTGAGCTCCCAGAAAAATCCTTCATTCTTTCCCAACTGTGCCTCCCAAGACAGATGTTTTATATCAAGGACACCAAGTCCTGCCCTGAGGACTTAGCCAGCAAAAACTCACTAGAGGCCCTTGCCTTCAGGAGATGATGTAACCTTGGAGAGATGTGTGCTACAATCTCCCTGCAAAGGCGGAAGACAGCGTGAACTCACAGGGGACCCAGGCCAGGGTATTGGGTGGGCCATCCCTCTCTGTTGTGATGAGTGGCTATAGTGTGTAAGTCAGCCTGGGAAAATGTCTGCTCAGTCCCAGGAGTGGATTCCACAGCTCTTTGGTTGACAGTTCAGTTCCCACCATCTTCTGCTTGCAAGTCTTCTTAGGGCAATGCTGCAGGGTAGGTCCTTGTCCTGTTTTATTCAAGAGCACTCCTGGTATGGCCCCACCATCTGTGCAGAGAGCAAGGCTTCACATGTCTCCAGGGTCTTATGGTAAGTTGGATATGACAAGTGAGAACCCAGCAGTCTGGGGACAGTGCTCAGAGCAGTGTAAAGGGCAGTCACACAGCCAAGTACTTTCCAAGGCAGGGCAGGCCTTGCCAGTCCTCACTCAGAGATGTTCACACCAGCCTTGTGTACAGCATGCTTAGCTCTTTGATTTCTGAGCCCTCAGCTATCACAAGTAGTCAATTCTCAGGAGAGGCTGAGTTGGGAGATGGACCTAATGACATTGCCTAGCACACAGTAGGCACTCAAAGCATATTAGATGAATGACAGAATGATCAAACAGCATCAAAAAGGCACAGCTAACTAGAAGAGGGGGCCCAGGAAAACAAATAAGTAAAATTGATGCTTTCGTGCCTGGGCCCTTTAGGACAAGGAAAAGAACTCAGGATTGCAAACTGCTAGTCTGAACTAGGGACTTGACATTTATTATCTGAGTCACTCATGTAGTCATCCTGGGAGGTATTAGGAACACCCTTTTACAGATGCAGAGGTGGAAGCCTGGAGAAGGGAAGTGGTTCCCCCCAGGTCCTCCATCCAGTAAGGGGCAAGGCCTCAGTCCCAACAAAGCTCTACCTCTGTTGCAGCTCATAGCTCAGTTTCCTCAACTACAGAAAGGATGCAGCGTTGCTTATCAAATGGGGTGGTTTCGAAAGCAGCATATTTAAACTCTGGATTAGGACCCCATTAAACTTGAATCTGGATCAGATCTAGGGAGAAGTTTACTTTTGTGCTATTCATAAAAGAAAAGGTTTAGAAAGCCAAGAACCGTGTAAACCACATTGCTGGGTGGGAGGATGTGAAAAGTATGTAAGCAAATAAACTATCTCTAAGCAACTCAAACATAAGACAAACATTTATTTGCATATAGATGAGTGATGTGATTGCTTCTGCCTGGAACCATTTTTCACTTTTCTGTCTTTTCCCCTTTTTTTCTAACTAACTTTTATTTATCCTTCAAGTCATGCCTTAACTGTCATGCCCTGTGGAAAGCCTCTACTGACCCCTGCACTAAGTGACTCACTTCTATTATACTATCCTGTGTCCTCCATTATTTTAATTGCTTGTTTATTTTCTGTCTTCCTTTCCAGGCAGCAAATTCCACAGTAACAGTAGCAATGATGTCCTTAGCACTTAGCACAGTCCCTGACACACTGCCAAAAGTACATGTAAAATGAATATATGAAAGAATAAATGATATGCTAATTACAAATCACAGGTTCCTCTAAGATACTTTTCCCAAACAAGTCACTAAATGGATTGAATAGTCACTCCTTTAACTGCTTGTTCTCTCTCTGTGCCTTTTTCAACAACTTTTGATTAAATCGCTACTGTTCATCAGATTCCATACTAGATGAAATAGACACATTTATTTGCCCTACGTAACCCACTGTGTCCCGTTCACATGTCTGTAGAGTGCCCATAATGCTTTGTAGCACTCATCTATTTACATGTTTGTCTCTACAACTAAAAGGCTATAAACTCGTAGAACTCAGAGTTAGGGTATTGATCATCTTACATCACCAGAACCTGGCACAGTGAGTGGTAGAGAATAAGTACTTTATAATTGTATTTGGAGTGGTGAATAAAATATTTTAAATTGATACAGCCCTTTGGAAATCAATCTGGCAAAATGAATTGAATACCTTAAAATACTTATATTGACTACTTCTAATATAACATAAGTAAATCATTCATCTTAAACAAAAATCCCTATGTAAAAATATTTATCAATTATAGTAACAAAATGTGGGAACTAGTTAAATGTCTATTTGTAAATAAAAGGTTAAGTAATCTACCACACACGTCTACATGTTGGAGTATTGTGCAGGCTTTATAAATGATGCTAAGGAAGAACACAGGAAAGTGATCATGAAATCACTTTTAATTAAATAAAATTTAAGTATTAAAATTGTATTTTAAATACCATATTCATATATTCATTTTTGAAAAAAATTAAAGCAAGCTAATTATAGGAAACACAATACATGAAAGAAATAGACAAACATATCATGTGTTTGGTGAATGATCAATGGGCATTTTGCTTTTATTTCCTTATGTGTTAAGTAATTTCCAAATTTTCTTAAATAAGTTTGCTCATTTTTTTTCTTTTTTTTCTTTTTTTGAGACAGAGTCTTGCACTGTCGCCCGGGCTGGAGTGCACTGGCGTGATCTTGGCTCACTGCAAGCTCTGCCTCCCGGGTTCACACCATTCTCCTGCCTCAGCCTCCCAAGCAGCTGGGACTACAGGCACCCGCCACCACACCCAGCTAATTTTCTGTATTTTTAATAGAGACAGGGTTTCACTGTGTTAGCCAGGATGGTCTAGATCTCCTGACCTTGTGATCCACCTGCCTTGGCCTCCCAAAGTGCTGGGATGACAGGCATGAGCCACCGCGCCCAGCAAGTTTGCTCATTTTATAATGAAAATAATGTCATTGAAGACTTCCATTTCCAACCATTACAGAGAAATGAGAACCAAAATTTACCTCCCACCCTAAACAACTTATAAAACTGAACAAAATACATGAAATAACAGTTTTAGATATTGAACAAGAGGTGGCAAAGGAGAATGATCCATGAGAAAAAGTAAACAAATGATGTGAGCACTACGAATGCCCCAGCTCACTGTCTAGAGAGTATGTCAAGGTCACAGCACAAGCAGAAGCAGCCCATGCATAACCTGGAGGTCTCCCTGAGTTGAGGAAACAGAGTTCAGAGTTCAAGAGGCAAGAATTCTCAGAATAGAGCACCAGAGAGGAGAGAGCTTCACCGAGAGAGAGAGTCTCAGAGAGCTGAAGAGGATTTCCCTTGAGTCTTCTGTTGAGTGCTAATCTATGCATCTGTGTGAAGAAACTAGTAAGACTAAGGAAAGAATCACCAGAAAGGAGCAGGCTTTCTTAATGAGGAATTGAAATTACTAATTCAATCTCTTATTATAGATCTATTCAGATTTTCTATGTTTTCTTGATCATTTTTGGTAATCTGTTTTTTTAGGACTTTGTCCATGCCACATAGGTTATCTAATTTGTTAGTATACAGTCGTTCATAGTATTCCTTATAGTTATTTTATTTCTGTAAGATCAGCAGTGATGTCTCCTCTTTCATTCTAAATTTTAATGAGTCTTGTCTCTCTTTCTCTGTCACTCTGTCTCTCTCTCACACACACACACACAAACACACACTACTCCTCTCCTACCATCCATTTACCTGAATGTGAGTCAATTTTGTTGATGTTTTCAAAGAGCCAACTTTTCAATTCATTGATTTTCTCTATTGTTTTTCTGCTCTATTCCATTTCTTTCTATTCTAATATTTACTATTTATTTCCTTCTGCTTGCTGTAGGTTTAGTGTATTCTTCTTTTTTTGGTTTCCTAAGGTGGAACATTAGGTTATTTATTTGACAATTCTCTCTCTCTTTTTTAAATATAGATATTTGTAGCTATAAGTTTCACTCTATGCACTGCTTTAGCTGATTCCCTTAAGTTTTGCTATGTTGGAAAAGAAAAACAAATACCACATGTTCTCACTTATAAGTGGAAACTAAACATTCAGTATACATGGACACAAAGAGGGGAACAGTAGACACTGGAACCTACTTGAGGGTGGAAGGTGGGAGGACAGTGAGGGTTTGAAAAACTACCTATCAGTACACTATGCTCACTACCTTGGTGACAAAATCATTTGCACACCAAACCTCAGGGACACACAATTTACTCATGTAACAAACCTGCACATGTATCCCCTGAACCTAAAATAAAAGTTGAAAGAAAGAGATTTGGTATGCAGTGTCATCTCAAAGTACTTTCAAATTTTCTTTGTAATTTATTCTTTGACTCATTGGTTATGAAAGAGTGTGTTCTTTAATTTCCACATATTTGTGAAGTTCCCAATTTTCCTTTACTTATTGATTTTTAATTATATTTCATTATAGTTTAAAAAATACTTTGCATGATTTCAATTCTTTTAAATTTCTTGATGCTTATATTATGGCCTAGCATATGGTCTATCCTGGAGAACGTTTCATGCATTATTGGTAAGAAAGTATCTTCTGATATTATTTAATAGAGTAACTTAGAGATGTCTGTTAGGTTGACTATTTGGTCTATAGTGCTATTCAACTTTCATGTTTCCTCGTTGACATTTTGCCTAGTTATTCTATCAATTATTGAACATGATGGATTGAAATCTCCAACTATTATTGTTAAAATTTCTTATTTCTTCTTTCAATTTTGACAATTTTTCTTCATGTAATTTGGTAATTTGTTGTTAAGTGTTTGTATGTTTATATTTGTTTAATCTTCCTTATAAATTGACCTTTTCTTTATTATAAAAATGTTGTTCTTTGCCTCTAGTAACAATTTGGTCTCAAAATTTATTTTGTCTGATATGAGTATAGCCGGTCAAGTTGTCTACTGGTTTTTGTGTGCATGGTATACCTTTTCTCGTTATTTTATTTTCAATCTATTTGTGTCTTGAATCTAAACTATATTTCTTGTATGTGGTTTATAGTTGGAATATGCTTTGTTTGTTTGTATGCTTGCTTTTAAAATCCATTGTGCCAATATCTGCTTTTCACTAGAGCACCTATTCCATTTACACTTAATATAACAAATAGTTACATTATTGTAATTAATTAGAAGGTAGGATTTATGTCTGCCCCTTTGTTACATGTCTACATGTCTTAGGTCATTTTTGTTCTCTATTTTTTCATTACTGCATTTTTTGTCTCAAACAGATATGTTCTAATATACCACTTAAATTCCATTGTTCTTTCTTTTACCAAGTTTTTGTGAGTTGCTTTCCTAGTGTTATTCAAACCAGATAGGAAAAGTTTTTCCAAAATACATTTATAGTTTTATATGTACCCATGTAGTTATCCTTACTGATGCTCTTTATTACTTCATGTGGATTCACATTACCATCTAGCATTCTCTCATTTCAGCCTGAAGAACTTCCTACTATTTCTTATAGGGAATGTATTTTAGCAACAAATTCTGTTATTTTTTTCTATGTAATATCTCAGTGTTTGCTTTATTTTTGAAGGATATAAAATTTTTGGTTAACTAAGGGGTTCCGCCTCCCCCCCACCCCCAGCACTTTTTAATAGATCATCCTTATGCCTTCTGGCTTCCATGGTTTCTGATAAGAAGTAAACTGTTAATCTTATTGAGGAGCTCTTATAAGTGATGACTCACCTTTCTCTTGGTGCTCTGAAGATCCTTGTCTTTGGTTTTGGCAATTTTATTATGATGTATATAGATGTGAATTTCTTTTAGTTTATCCTACTTGGAGCTTGTTCAGCTTTTTGCATATGCAGATTAATGCAGTTCATTAAATTTGCTAAATTTTCAGCCATCATTTAAAAAATATCTTTTTCTTCTCCTTTTTCTTTCTCCTCTTCTCTGGAATTCCTACTACGAATGTGTTGGCACACTTAATGGTATAAAATATTTGCTTCACAAATCTCTGAGAATCTATTCATTTTTCTCTCTTTTCTTCAAACTAGGTAATCCCAAATGACCTGTCTTCAAGTTTGCTAATTCTTTCTTTTGCCAACTCAAATTTGTTATTGAGCTTCTCTACCAAATGTTTTGTTTTAGTTACTGATTATATTGGTCCATTTTCATGCTGCTGATAAAGATGTACCCAAAACTGGGCAATTTACAAAAGAAAGAGGTTTAATTGGACTTATAGTTCCACATGGCTGAGGAAGCCTCACAATCATGGCAGAAGGCAAGGAGGAGCAAGTCCCATCTTACATGGATGGCAGCAGGCAAAGAAAGAATGAGGAAGATGTAAAAGCAGAAACCCCTGATAAAACCATCAGCTCTCGTGAGACTTACTCACAATCATGAGAACAGTATGAGGGAAACTGCCCCCATAACTCAATTATCTTCCACCAGGTCCCTCCCATAACACATGGGAATTATGGGAGTACAAGTCAAGATGAGATTAGGGTGGGGACACAGAGCCAAACCATATCACTGACTTTTCAACTCCAGGTATTTAAATATAATTTCTATATTTTTATTGACATTCTCTATGTGGTGATACATTGCTCTCATACTTTCCTTTAACTTTTAAAACATGGTTCTTTAGTTCTTTGAACATACTTATAAAAGCTGCTTTCTGTCTAGTAAGTTAACATCTGGGCTAACTCAAGAACAGTCTCTACTGACTACTTCTTTTTCCCCCCAAGTACGGATCATTCTTTTCTGTTTCTTTGTAGTTGTTACTATTTGTTTGTATAGTAGCTTTTCTAAACTTACTCTGTAAAGTCTGAATTTCTTATTATGAGCAGCCACTGAAGACTCTGCTCAGTTCTCTTAATGATCAATTATTGATTTGACAGAGATTTCCTTAAATGCCTTGAACCAATAAGTCTCCTACCATTTATCAAGGGACTCTGTGTGTGTTAGGTCACACCTTCAATGCCACAGCCTTCATTGCCTGCATGTGTTAGACCTCAAGGTCATCCAGAGATAAGAGATTAGGGCCTTCTCAGTGCTTTCCTGGTCATGTACACAGCCTCACATATGTGCTTGGTCTTCTAGACCCCAGGAATATGTTGGTGCTTTGAATATCTCATTCCCCAGATCCCTTACGTTTACTTTATTTTATTTTATTTTGGCCTCAAATGGTATCATTGCTACAGACAGCTGTGACTTTAGATAACTGCACTGATTGTTTTTGATATATGTCCTTGGGATCAGGCTTTTCAGACTGAACAAGCTTTGTGTCAGGTGAAATATTGATAAGCCCTACAAACAGAGTTTCTCTGGGGAACTTTCGTAGAGGTCAAATATTTTCTCTTTTTGAGGCTCCCCAAAGCCATTTGATCCTTTCCATTGGCTATTAGGTTGCTGGTTTTCATGGGTACCACGGTTATGAAACTACTGGTCTTCAAGGCTATTCCAGAGCTGAGGAGAGGGAGTTAGGACTACAGCAGGTTAAAATGCCACAATTCTTGCTGTTTTTACTGAGATTCAGCCTTTTAAAAAAACAAGACTTTGCTTAATTCAGCCTTTTAAAAAAATTAAGACTTTGCTTAATTTCCAGAGTTCTGAAAACATTGATTTCAACAATTTTTTATGTTTCTTTTTTTAGAACTTTTATTTTAAGTTCAGAGGTACAAGTCCAGGTTTATTTCATAGATAATACATAGGTAAACTCATGTCATGGGGGTTTGTTGTACAGATTATTTCATCGCCCAGGTATTAGGCCTAGTACCCACTAGTTGTTTATCTGATCCCCTCCCTCCTTCCACCCTCCAACCTCTGAAAGGCACCAGTGTGTGTTGTTCACCTCTATGTGTCCATGTGTTCTCATCATTTAGCTTCCACTTATAAGTGAAAACGTGCAGTATTTGGTTTTCTGTTCCTGTGTCAGTTTGCTGAGGATAATGGCCACAAGTTTTATCCATGTCCCCACAAAGGACATGATCTCAGTCTTTTTTATAGTTGCATTATATTCCATAGTGTATATGTACCACACTGTCTTTGTTCAGTCTATCATAGATGAGCATTTAGGTTGATTCCATGTCTTTGCTATTGCGAATAGTGCTGCAATGAATATGTGTGTTCATGTGTCTTTATAACAGAATGATTTCTATTCCTTTGGGTATATACCCAGTAATGGGATTACTGGGTCAAATGGTATTCCTGGTTCTAGGTCTTTGAGGAATTGCCACACTGTCTTCCGCAATGGTTGAACTCATTTACATTTCCACCAATAATGTAAAAGTGTTCCTATTTCTCCACAGCCTTGCCAGCATCTGTTGTTTCTTGACTTTGTAATAATTGCCATTCTGACTGGCATGAGATGGTATCTCATTGTGGTTTTGATTTGCATTTCTCTAATGATCAGTGGTGTTAAGCTTTTTTTCTAATTATTTTGGCCACATGTATGTATTCTTTTGAAAAGTGTTTGTTCATGTCCTTTGCCCACTTTTTAATGAGCTTGTTTGTTTGTTGTAAATTTGTTTAAGTTCCTTATAGATACTGGATATTAGACCTTTGTTGAATGCATAGTTTGCAAAAATTTTCTCCCATTCTGTAGGTTGTGTGTTTACTTTGTTGATAGTTTATTTTGATATGCAGAAGTTCTTTAGTTTAATTAGATCTCATTTATCAATTTTAGCTTTTGTTGCAATTGTTTTTGGTGTTTTTGTCATGAAATCTTTCCCCATGCCTATGCCCTGAATGGTATTGCCTAAGTTGTCTTACAGGGTTTTTATAATTTTGGGGTTTTACATTTATGTCTTTAATCCATCTTGAGTTAATTTTTGTATATGGTGTAAGGAAGAGGTCCAGTTTCAGTCTTCTGCATATGGCTAGCCAGATATTCCAGCACCATTTATGCAATAGGGAATCCTTTCCCCATTGCTTGTTTTTGTCAGGTTTGTTGAAGATCAGATCATTTTAGGTGTGCAGTCTTATTTCTGGGGTCTCTATTCTGTTCCACTGGTCTATGTGTCTGTTCTTGTACAAGTGCCTGCTGTTTTTGTTACTATAGCCCTGTAGCATAGTTTGAAGTCAGGTAGTGTAATGCCTCTAGCTTTGTTCTTTTTGGTTAGGATTGCCTTGGCTATTGAGGCTCTTTTTTGGTTCCACATGAGTTTTAAAATAGTCTTTACTTGTTCTGTGAAGAATGTCAATGGTAGTTTAATGAAAATAGTGTTGAATGTATAAATTGCTTTGGGCAGTATGGCCATTTTACTGATATTGATTCTTCCTATCCATGAGCATGGAAAGGTTTTCTTTGTTCGTGTCATCTCTGATTTCTTTGAACAGAGGTTTGGAGTTCTCCATATAGAGATCTTTCGCCTCCCCAATCAGCCATATTCCTAGGTATATTAATCTTTTTGTGGCAATTGTGAATGGGGGTTCATTCCTGATTTGGCTCTTGGCTTGATGGTTGTCGGTGTATAGGAATGCTAGTGATTTTTGCATATTGATTTTGTATCCTGAGACTTTGCTGAAGTTGTTTATCAGCTTCAGAAGTTTTGGGGCTGAGACAATGAGGTTTTCTAGATATAAGATCATGTCATCTGCAAACAGGGATAGCTTGACCTCCTCTTCCAGTACTATGTTGAATAGGAGTGGTGAGAGAGGGCATCCTTGTCTTTTGCCTGTTTTCAAGGGGAATGCTTCCGGCTTTTGCCCATTTAGTATGGTGTCGGCTGTGGGTTTGTCATAGATGGCTCTTATTATTTTGAGGTATATTTTTTCAATATCCAGCTTATTGGGAGTTTTAAACATAAATGAATGTTGAATTTTATAAAAAATCTTTTCTTCATCTATTAAGATAATCATGTGGTTTTTGTTTTTAGTTCCGTTTATGTGATGAATCACATTTATTGATATGCATATGTTGAATCAACCTTGCATCCCAGAGATGAAGCCTACTTCATTGTGGTGGATGAGTTTTTTGATTGCACCATATTTTCTTTATCCAATCCATCACTGATGGGCACCTGGGTTTATTTCATGTCTTCACTATTGTGAATAATGCTGTAATGAACACACGAGTGCATGTGTCTTTGGTAGAACAATTTATTTTCTTTTGACTATATACCCAGTAATGAGATTGCCCACTTTTTAATGAGATTGATTTTTCTTTCTTGTAAATTTGTTTAAGTTCCTTGTAGATTCTGCATATTAGGCCTTTGTCAGATGGATAGGTTGAAAAAATTTTCTCCCACTCTGTAGGTTGCCTGTTCACTCTGATGATAGTTTCTTTTGCTGTGCAGAAGCTCTTTAGTTTAATTAGATCCCATTTGTCAACTTTTGCTGTTGTTGCAATTACTCTTGGCAATTTCATCATATCCATATTCTGAATTCTACTTCTGTCATTTCAGCCATCTCAGCCTCATCCTGCTTCTGAACCCTTGCTGGAGAGGTGATGCTGTCCTCTAGAGAAAAGAGGGCATGCTGACTTTTTGTGTTTTCAGCATTCTTGCACTGCTTCTTTTTCAAATTTGTGCGGGCTTATTTACCTTCAATCTTTGAGGTTGCTGACCCTTGGATGGAGCGTTTTTTTCTTTTAACAGTCTGGCCACCTTTCCATAGGGCTGTTGTGGTTTGCTGGGGGTCCACTCTAGTCCCTAGTCACCTCGGATTTTCCAGTACCTGGAGGCATCACCAGTGAAGGCTGTGAAACAGCAAAGATGGCAGCCTGCCCCTTCCTTTGGGAGCTCCAACCCAGGGAGGTACGGACCTGTTGCTGGTCCGAACACACCTGTACATGGTGGCTGGAGACCCTGGTTGGGAGGTCTTGCCCAATCAGTCAGGAGGAACGGGATCAGGGTCCCACTTAAAGAAGCAGTCTGGCCATGCTTTCGTTGAGCATCTGTGCTGTGCTGGGGGATCCCTTCCTCCTTCCATCAGTTTGGACACTCCAAAGCCTGCAGGGTGGAATGGCTGAGTTGCCCAAACAGCAAAGTTGGCAGCCTGCCCCTCCCGCTGGGAGCTCTGTCCCAGGGAGAATTCAAATTTCTGTTAGCCAGAGAACACCAGCAGGGGTGGCTGGAGGCCCTGGTTGGGAGGTTCCACCCAGTGAGGAGAAAAGGGATCAGGGATCCAATTAAAGAAGCTTCTGTAGAGCAGCTGTGTTGTGCTGGGGTACTGCTTCTGCCCTGGTCGACTTGGGTTTTCCAAAGCCTTTAGGCTGGAACGGCTAAGTCACCCAAACAGCAAAGATGGCAGCCCACCTGTCCCTCTGGGAGTTCTGTCTCAGGGAGAATTCAAATGTCTGTCAGCTGGAGAAGACTAGTGGAGGTGGCTGGAGGCCCCAGTTGGGAGGTCAAGCCCAGTGAGGAGGAACAGATCCAGGACCCGCTTAAAAATGCAGTGGGGTCAAGTTTGGGTAGAGCAGCTGTGCTGTGCTGGGGGATCTCTTCCTCCCTCCATCAGTTTGGACTCTCCAAAGTTCGTAGGGTGGAATGGCTGAGTCGCCCAAACAGTAAAGATGGTGCTCCCCCCCGCCCCACCCCCAGGGACCTCTGTCCCAGGGAGGCGCAGCACTGCTGCTGGTGGCTGAAATTCCAAGCCAGTGGGTCTTATCCTGTGAGGTGCAATGGAAGTGACTGCTCCACTCCCTGGATTCAGCCTCTTTCTTAGGGTTATGTACGGGGGTCTATTCTCCCGCTTTGCTAGAGTTGCAGTTACTTTTGCTGGGAAGCCGGGAGCCGGAGTATCGAAAGCTCCAGGTCTCCACATATGCCTCAGTGGCTGCTCTGTGAGACTCCACATAGCTCTCTGTGCCGGACTGAAGGCCCTGGTGGAGTGGCTTCTGAGGGGATCTCCTGACCTGAGGGTTGCAAAGATCCGTGGGAGGAGCATGGTTTCCCAGGGTGGCACATTCACTCGCCACTTCCCTGGGCAGGGGAGGTTCCCTTGCCTCCGTGTCACTCCCAGGTGGGCCATCATCCTGCCTTGCTTTTCTCCGTTCTCTTTAAGTTGTTTCCTTTATTAGTTCCAATGCAAGTACCTGGATGTTTCAGTTGAAGGTGCTGCATTTACTCGCCCCTTTCATTCCTCTCTGTGAGAACCATGCACCCTAGCTGCTTCTAGTCGGCCATCTTGGCTGTGCCCTGGATAATTTTTCTTGTTTCCTCTTAGGGGAAGAGGGTTTTCAGGGGTCCTTACTCCACCATTGCAGAAGTTCTGCCTCTTATTTCCCTTCATTTATCATGCAAAAGGCACTATAAAATATATACTCTTTTTGGTACTTGCTTTTTCCCCCAATTTACCAATATATCTTAGAAATAATTCCATATAAGTTTACAGAGATCATTTTAAATTTTTAAACTCCATTTAAAAAACTCCTTTGTGTGAACGTACTGTTATTTATTAAACTAATCTTACATCTATGTGCTTTTAAATTACTTCTTCAAGATAATTTATCTTTAATACTTAAAGTTACATGATGCTAGATGCTGTACTAAGTATCTTTATGCATTATCTGATTTAATCCTCAAATAATAATTATAAATAGTAATAATAATTCCTGAATAATAATTTAAAGTAGATATAGCTGTAGGTGGTATCTTGTTTTACCATGAGAAACTGATGCCTATTGAGATGAAGAAAGCTGCCTAAGGTTACACAGCTAGAAGGTGATGAAACCAGGTCCAGATTTCTCATCTCTCTGACACCAAAGCTCTTGCTGTCACTTACTATGTCACATATTGAAGAAAGCCCTTGATAATCAAAAGCCACCAGCCCTGAGTCCCCGGTTTGGCACTGGAGCAATGCAACTGGAGCAGCTTCAAAGGAAAATAATGCATCATGAGGGTACATTCATGGATCCTCCCGGGTATCAGAAGATTCACCAGAAGACATGGTCTCAAGAAGCAAAAGCCAAAGCAGGAGAGAAGAAATTGAAGCTGCTAATAAGTGATGTTTGTGTGCACCCTTGGAAAAAATCCTGATAATGATTCTAGTAAAACCTTAGTAAATTTTCATGAAAGAGGCCAAAGTAGAGTATTATCCTAAGAATTGAGAATTCAAAACTTTGGGGATTATTTGAAATTTTATGCATGAACATCTATCTAGCCACCTAAAAAATAAATATATTGTTTCATTTGATTACCTCAAAAGCCTTATGAAGTGTGTCAGATGTTTAAAACTTCTTTACAGGTTGAGATTTTTCAAAAGAAAAAAATTCTTTATTTTTATTATTATAAACTGTAATTTAAAGTATCAGTAAAGTCAGTGGGAAGATATCTCAGTCTTCCCATGGACAGGAAAGATTCTTAAGAGAGATTAGAGATTCTTTAATAACAGATGAAAACAGAATCAGGGAAATACAGTTGTTAATGTAGAGTTGTCAAATTTAGCAAGTAAAAATAGAGAACATCTAGTTAAATTTGAATTGCAGAGAAACAACAAGTAATTTTGTAATATAAGCATGTCCTACTTACTTTACTATGAGTATACTTATACTAAAAAAGTACTTGTTGTTTCTCTGAAATTCAAATATAACTGGATGTTCTGTATTTTATCTGGCAATCCTATGTAATGTGTCTCCATTTACCTCCCGAGCTACTGAGGCCTGGAGAAAAGAGTTACGCATAACACAGAAATAACTGGAAATGTCACCATCACTGGAATGCCTTCCCAGCAACTTGCATCATGTATTCAGTACTATATGACCTTGAACATGTTTGTCTCTTGCACTTGAGTTTCTCTTATTGCAAAACAGAATTCTCACTAGAGATAAGAAGAGCCAGCAAGCATATGTAAGGCCTCTTTACACAGTATTGTATGTATCATATGCTCACTAATTTTCAAAAGAAATTGTACTATGATTTTGGAGTTTCTTTACACTCCCTTGACAGTTTTAGAATCAGCCTTCTCATTTTTTCCCCATCCATTTTGTCTTTTTTTAAGGGTAGGAAACTGAGAACTGACTAGCAGGCTTGGAGGACTGAGATGTAGTCCTGATTTATTCTGTAATTGATATATACTCTGTTTGGATGTGGGTGGGTTGGGGTACTCTCATTGTTCTTCAAATCTGGTAAAAAATTTCTCAACAAGTTGACCGATATTCTTCCTTCTCCCCTAAGGGAGGCCAGAATATCCATCAGACTCTGAGTGTACCTACATCCATGCCATTCAGCTGTGGTAGGGGTTGGTTATCTAGACATAGCCCATGACCCAGGTGGTAGAAGATGCTAGGTAAACCAAGCAGTCACATTGAAGCAAGCTGTGAAAAGTGCTCTTGGTATATCAGGTTCTATAACCGAATTCAGTGGAGATCTTGACCTCCACAAGTTGAAACCGGAAAGTGTCCTGTGCCTACTTTGTAAAATCCATTGATTTATTAAATAGCATCACTGTATATCCAAGAATGGTATCCCACCTTCTCCATTAAACGCATATGTTCAAAGATTCATAAGTTGCTCATGACTCTCTGTAACAGATCTGTTTGATCCTTTTGGAGGCAAAACTTAAGTGCTATAGGAATGACACATTTATGATTTTCTGATAGAGTTTTTTTAAATATACTTTAAGTTCTGGGATACATGTGCAGAAGTTTTTAAATAACAACAGTCTGAATGTCCGGCTTTTTTCTGACCATTTCTCAAAGATTTCAGACAGATCCTCTTATAAAGAAAAGGTCTGAAGATGTATTCTCTTTTAGCACTTGCTAAAATTTTTTGTTCATAGCTGTTCCCACTGATAACATTTGAAGAAAGGGTAATTCTTCTACAGGTCTTTATTTGATCTACTCAGGTAGCATCTAAGTATAATTGTGAAATATTTTACGGGGTAGCATCTCCTCTTGGAAAAAATCTTGATAATGATTCTAGTAAAACCTTAGTAAATTTTCATGAAAGAGGCCAAAGTAGAGTATTATCCTAAGAATTGAGAATTCAAAACTTTGGGGATTATTTGAAATTTTATGCATGAACATCTATCTAGCCACCTAAAAAATAAGTATATTGTTTCATTTGATTACCTCAAAAGCCTTATGAAGTTTGTCAGATGTTTAAAACTTCTTTACTGGTTGAGATTTTTCAAAAGAAAAAAATTCTTAATTTTTATTATTATAAACTCTAATTTAAAATATCAGTAAAGTGCAAATTTCTCAAATGACTAATTCTAATGAAATTATTTGTGACTTTAATTGGCACAGTGCCTGCTGGCAATGCCTCTGTTTCTTTTAAAATATAAGATACATTGCTCTTCAAAAATTGTTTTGTACAATGAACACACTATCTGTAGCATCATTAAGAAACAAAAGCCTCATGGAATAGGTGTCATTATTCTCATTTTGCAATGAGACTCTGAAAACTGAAGAGTTATTCCCAAGGACACACAGCTGATATTTTAACCAAGGTCTCCTGTTTCAAACACAACCACACATGATATTTAGACGGGACATTATTTATAACCAATATTGGTTTAATGAGAGTACTGAATATGGCTTAAATTAATATTAGCAAAATTAACAACTTTGACATTGATAACTGGTGTGGTTGATATTAATGTCAATAATAAATAAAGAGAAGGAGAAGGTTAATTTTGAAGGAATGCTGAGATGTTGGAAAGCGATAAAATCTTAAGCATAAAAAAAGAACCCTTTTCTGAAGGGCACATTTGTAAGAGGCATGCCAGTTGGTTGATATTCTGAATCATTGCCAGGATGATCGCATGCTCATGGGTGCTTAGATAAGGATCCATTTCTCCCAGCAGGGTCGACCATTGCTCAAACACCCGAGATTGAGATTATCTCTGTCCTTGATGTTCTAGCCCCTGGGGTCAGGAGTTCAGCTTGGAAGCAGGTCCTCAATTATCCCTTTACAAGAGATTCTCAGTGTAGCACCCTTAACACTTCCTGATTTCATGTTGTCTGCCTTTTGATCTATAACTGTGTATGAGTTTTGTCAAAACATAGGGAGTCAGGGGGAATCAGGCTGTTATAAAAAACCAGGCCAATTAGGTCATTCAACCCCTCTTAAAAATCACCCATGATGGCAATTTGGTCATCATTTAACTAAATAAAATCAAGAAGAATTACGGTATGGCTACGAAGCTGTATCTAACATCTAAATTAAGTACTTATCTCTTTTCCTCTCTTTATTTCTACTTTTAAAATATGTCTTAGAGGTTCAGAAGCTTCCAGTCAAAGTATACAAAAGAATTATTAACTATTATTTCTCCCCACAGATTGTGCCTCACATAAGCTTGGAGTTGCACAGTAGAACTCGGTGGCAGAGGGACCCTTGCTTGGGCTTTGTCTGGAGAACTCCAGCTCCCAGCTTATCCTTCTGGATCCTGGTCCTTGTTTAGCCTCATCACTTAGCCACCCTGGGCTACATTTTCTTTACTGGCAAAATGAAATAGAATAAGTAAGACCTACTATTTGATAGCACAACAGGGTAATCATAGTCAATAATAACAATTGTGCATTTTAAAATAACTTAAAGAGTATAATTGGATTGTTTGTAAGTCAAAGGATAAACGCATGAGGGGATGGATGCCCCATTGCCTATGATGTGCTTATCCCACATTCCATGCCTGTATCAAAACATCTCTTGTATCGCATAAATGTAAACACCTACTATGTACCCACAAACATGAAAAATTTAAAAAAATTTAAAGAAAATTTAGAAGTGAAGAAGAAACCCAGAGTAAAGAAGATGGACGAAATAATAGAACTCTAAATCATTTTCCACTTCCACATTCTATATTTTCCAAATGATTGCAGGGAAAACAGCTTCTCACTTTCACTGAAGCTCTCCTACTGTCACTTATGCCCACATGGAGGTTGGGTGCATCTAAATGTAAGGGAAGGTGCCAGGAAGGTGAGAAGAAATCTCCAGGTCAATCAAAGCCCAGTCTGTGATTTCCTGTCTGTCTTGAAAATGGGGATTTCCCAAGCTTCAGAACCAGCCTCACTCATTAGGGATAACAATCAGGGTAATTAACAATGGGTGTGCACTGCACAATCAGAAAGACCCAATGGTATTTGGCAATGAAAAGTTTTATACAGGAACTGTTGGCTCCCTTTTGTCTGTGGTTAGGTAAAGATGAAAAATAGAAAAGTCAATTAAAATTATCCTAGAAACTCTTTATTACTTTAAAATAAGAGGAGTGAAAATAACCCCGGACTATGTAATGCATCTGAGGACATTAACTAATAGCTATTAGTTTTTGCAGTATGTTTACTGAACCCTGTAAAATGAGATGGTCATTTATAGAACTTCCTCTTTCCAGAAAATTCTGTGACTACCTAAGCAGCTTGACTGTCCCTTGTGAGGAAAGGGCGTGTTTTTTGAGTGCACAGGCCCTGCAGTGTCTCCCATGAGGTACTGTGTGGGAGAGAAACTCAGTCTTAGCCAAATCACTGTCCCACAGTGAAGTAAGTACCTTATATGACCTAGAAGAGGATAAATCAAGTAACCTTAAATTCATGAGAACTGCTTTTGTTTCTAGCAGCAATCAGAGGGTTGAGAAGATGTGGGCTGGATGAGGAGCCAAGGTACTGTATACTAATGCTAGGACTGTCCTAGGCCCCAGGAAATAAGAAGAGGAACTCGGCCAACAACGGGGCAGCCCTGAATGGAGCTCACGGTTTAGCAAAGGAGGCTGATTTAAGGGAGTAGGCCTACACTGTGACTTCCTGGCAGTGCTGACCTTGGAATTGCCCAAGAATCAGAGATAGCCTTAAAATTGTGACAAGGCAACGAGGGAGAAGTACAAGGCCCAGAGGAAAATGGGTTGGTCGATGTTTGGTGGCATAAGGACTCCCACAACATCCATCTGCAGAACCTCAGAGGAGTCAGTAGGAACCCTTAGAATTAATCACAGGAATGAGTGTTGCCATTTTCCAGGTCTCTATGATATGCTTGTGGCCAGGCACTTCCCATACATCATCTCACTTAAAATAAGGGTCAGACACTTGACACTCCACTTTTGAAAGGTTGATGACCCATAATTAGAGTGTGCGGGAGGGGTCCCTACTTAAAGTTTGGATACAGAACATGCTTTCATTCACAAGAAAAGAATGAGAATCAGGATTTCAAGTGTGCTAATGCCTTATTAAATTGTCCTAATAATCCATTGTTTATATGCAGAGATGTGATAACTGACTGACAGACTCTCAGGACCATATAATTGTGGGATTGTTTCACTAGCAATGAGAGTAAGTTTGGTCTCTTATAAAATCTGCCAGCTAGGCAGATGGCTGGTGGTCATGGGGCAGCATGGTGCCATGGAACACAGACTCATGGCTTGAGTGTCCCAATTCCCTGCCCCACCGCTTGGCCACTGGGTTGGGGGCAGCATGACTATAATTGATTTGCTTCAGTATCAAGCTCAGAAGTGTGGCCTCATTCTCATGACCAGACATTGTATCACTGGGACTTGAGTTTGGGGACTGTGTAATTTTACTGATGTCACGATGGTTTTATAAGCCACTGTGTAAAAAGTTAAATGCAAGTATTTAAATCTCCACTAAATGTGGATTTTTCTGCTCAACTAATAAAAACAGCTTAGTCAACTAATCAAAGGATTAGTTTTAGGAGACCTAAAAATAGAGCGCCATGTGCCACTAGCATCTTTGTCCAGTATCCCTGATGATTAATAATCAATTTAAAAGAGATATTTGTGGAGAATTTATTAGAATCCATGCAATGCTATTCACCAGCACACTTTCTCATTTTTTTCTTCAAGACATTTAAATAATAGAAAAAAATACAAAATTAGAAAAAAATATTAAAATATTTCCAGCATACTTACATTTGATATTAAATTCTAACCAAAATTTGACCAGAGCAAAAGAGAATTGCAAAACCACATGACTATTCCAATCATATGAGTGGGCAGGGTAGAAAAAGTCGGGGGGCAAATAGAATAAATGGTAAGAGACAGCATATAATTCATAATGTCCATAAAAATAGTTGTCCTTTAAACCAAAAGTTGTAATAATGCCTAAAATAAGTCATTGTGTAAGGAATTTTAACAGGGCCAAAATCTGCTATGCCTCTTAAATTACTAACAAACATTTGGACTTGTTTTGGAGTGGTTTTTTTTTGAACAAATGGTTTAAAGATTTCATTGAATTTCCTCCTACATAATACTTAACTTTTGACATATGGTCAGCTAAAAATATTTTGGATTTTATTAAATATTGATTGTGGAGAGGTAGGTCATGGAAAGAAGGCATGGGTGGGGGCAGATTCTTTGCCTTTTTCTCCTTAAATCTATGGGCAGGGGCTGGGTGTGTTGGCTCACGCCTGTAATCCCAGCACTTTGGGAGACCAAGGTGGGTGGATCACCTGAGGTCAGGAGTTTGAGACCAGCTGGCCAACATGGTGAGACCCTGTCTCTACTAAAAATACAAAAAAATTAGCCAGGCATGGTGGTGGGTGCCTGTAATCCCAGCTACTCGGGAGGCTGAGGCAGGAGAATCGCTTGAACCTGGGAGGTGGAGGTTGCAGTGAGCTGAGATCACACCAATGCACTCCAGCCTGGGTGAGAAGAGCAAGACTCCATCTCAAAAAAAAAAAAAAAGAAAGAAAGAAAAGAAAAATCTATGGGCAGGTTCCACTGAGACCCCTGAGAATGCTGACCCATTAGAGTCCCACCCTCTTGGCTATCCTGGTGCCCCTTTGACTAACGGTGCTTCTCTCTACTTTTCTTTTTAAGGAACTAGAAGAGAGACACCAGTATTTCATGTGCACTAAATTAGGGTAGGGTTTTGAGAGATAAAGGCAAGGGGAGGAGGAGTGTGCATTTCAGGAAGGAAACAAAGTGAACAATTGTGGGCATGGGGTCAGGAGGAAGGAGCAGCTTACAGAAGAGCAGTTTGGCTGGTGAAAAGACATGAGGTGATAGAAGAAAAGGAAGGGGAAGGAAGGTTAGGGCACACTAGTAAGCTCTCCACCACGATTCAATTATATGACCTCAGCTATTAAACTGTCACTCTGATATCCTCCTCTAATATTTTTTTCACCTCTCACATTTTCAGTGGAATCATACGGACTTGGATATTGTTGTCATGGAAAACCATGGGACTTGAGATAAAGATTCAGGAATCATTCATATGAAGGTGATACATAAAGCAGTGGTTGGTAAATTTACCAAAGGATAATGTGAGGGGAGAGAAGGCAAGAAGATCAAGAGCAAAATTTAGGGTCGCATCCATAGTCAGAGGTAGGAAAGAAGAGGAACTGCCAAGGAGATTGAAGCATCACACTGAGAGGAAGGGGGAGAACCAGGATAGGGTCTTCCCAACAGGGTCACCTACCACAAGATACCAAGGAAGATGAAAAATGGGCGGAGGAAATTGGATTTGGCAAGTAAGGTATGACTCCTGATCTTTAAGATAACACAGTAATAAGCATGACTAAGGAAAACCACCCCACAGATCTGGACCACACTGAGAGATGAGGTAAGATGAACTTCTGCCTGTAATCTCAGCTCCTAAGGAGGCTGAGGCAGGAGGATAGCTTGAGGCCAGGAGTTTGAAACCAGCTTAGGCAATATAGCAAGAGTCCTATCCAAAAAAAAAAAAAAATAGACGAACCTCCCAGGGCCTCTAGTTCTCAGGTGTAGTGCTCTAGGTAATATGCAAGCTTGAGAAGCCCAGGTGAAATGCTACCAAACTGAAGCTCCTTAGAGGAGCCAAACCACCTGTTCACTATCTGGACTGATTTTATACCGTTAGAGTTCACCAGACCGAGGAGGAGTTAGACCATGTCTATCTCACAATCCATGTCTTAGCTCTAAGGGAAAAGAAGAGAGCCCACAGTGATGGTGCCTGATTTAGGAAAAGTTTCAGTGTGTCTTCCTTAGGGTCCCTTTGTCCAAGCTTTTCTTCAGAAGCAGGGAAAACAGAAAAATATTTAGGAACAAATGGAGATGCCAGAGAGGAAGAAGTGGGGATTAAGGAAGAATAAGGGTAGAGGCGGGAAGGCCGTGAATGCCTGGATGACCTTCCCCCCACCAGAGGTGAAGGGGTGGTGCCGTTGTAAGGTACAAAGGTCCCCTGGAGGGAACCAGTGCTTTCCTCCCTAAATTGTTCATACCCAATAATAAACACATACCAGATAGCACACACATGGAATGCTGGGGGCTGTTGGAAGCAGACCCAGGCCGTCGGGAATCCCCTGAACCAAGGCATGAAAAACATTCTCTTCCTTCGCACGTGTAACACTCTCCCAGTATAACTGTTTCTCTTAAAGCCATAGGTGTCTGTTTTTGAGTTTGCTCCTTGGAGACAGAAACAGGATTACAATATATGGTGTTTTTTCCTCATTTCCTGCTATAGGCTGTTTTAAGTTTCTGTGACAGCTTTTCTATATATTTCTTCCTTCAAATGGTGAATCTATGTATGGCCATGTTAATGACTGGGACATAGACTTAAAATGGGAATGCTTAGGAAATGGAATGTTCTTTAACCAGTATTGTTTCATCTGCTATTATTGGGGAAAAAGAAATCTCTCTACAGATTTCAAACCCACTTTGCTGGTGCAATGGAATGATCAAATAGACTCTCTCTTTGAAGATCTGGCATCTTGTCCAGCCTCAGAGTCATTATTTAGATTATCATTTGGGTCATCGGTGACCTCAGTGCTGTGGACCCTGGGAGAAGGACTGAGGATTAGAGCCAGAAGACGTGGGTTTCAGGATTGGCTCTACTTAGTAGCTGGGAGATTCTAGGCAAATTGCTTTTTTAAAAAAATTCAAAATTCTCTAAATCTGTTTCCTCCTCTGAAGAGTGAGAATAAGACGCAAACCTACCTACTTCTCAGGATTATGTGAAGATTACAAAAATCCTCTGTGAAAGCATTTCCATCAACCTCAAACTCTCCACAACTCTAAGAGCTGGAGGCACCTGAAACCAGGCTGAATCTGTACAAATGGGACAGGTGGGTTCTAAAAGTTCATTTATAAAAGGAACCTCCCAAGTGAGTCTAACTTCTTGTTCTTTATCTCTTTGTCCTGTAAGGGGCCACTGGAAAAAAATGAGTCAAAGTTTTCCATTCAAGTGAATTTTCAGATAGTTGTCTGCATCCTCACAGAACAGACAAAGAAATCAAGACTTTACAAGTTGTTTATTTGTTTTAAAGTGACTTTTCCCAAATCTTGCAGCTAGCAACTGTCAGTGTCGGGATTCGCATCTGAACTTAAGACCTGCAGGGAGAGGCTGCTGGAATTTCTGCTTTTCATAAAGCCCTGAAGAGCGTGAACAAAAAGACAATGGAGGAACATGAGTCAAGCCCTGTAGCAGGACCTAGACTCTGAGGTGAGGGCCACCCCTGAAGCTCCAGGCTTCAGGGGCAGCACTCAGGAGAGGCACTTCTTCTGATGGGAGAAAACTGAATGGGACATTTGCAGTAAGGGGTGCTGGTGGGTACTACATGTGGGGCCACACTCGAGCTGCCTTCTCAGTCAACCCCTTTGGCAGCTTGGGCCAAGTCTCTTTGAAGAGGAAGACTGTGATATCTGAACTCGTGAGTTCACAGAGTGCTCACCTGGAGACTTTGTGAGAAACAGACTGGGAAGATCTCTGTAAAAGAATCAGGCCAGGCACGGTGGCTCACGCCTGTAATCTCAGCATTTTGGGACGCCGAGGTGGGCGGATCACGTGAGGTCAGGAGTTCGAGACTAGTCTGGCCAATATGGCGAAATCCCATTTCTACTAAAAAATACAAAAATTAGCCAGGCATGGCTGCTCATGCCTGTAATCCCAGCCACTCGGGAGGCTAAGGAAGGAGAACCACTTGAACCCTGGAGACAGAGGTTGCAGTGAGCCGAGATCTTGCCACTGCACTCCAGCCTGGGCGACAGAGCGAGACTCCATCTTAAAAAATAAAAATTAAAAAAAGAATCGATTGCTGGTAGGAGAGGGTTCCTTCTTGCACTCAGCACAGTGGCTGACCAAGACAAGTAATCCAGACCATGTTGGTGACCAGGTGAGCACTGGGGATGCCGGGAGGGGTGACATCACGAGGACAGTCTATGGGAAGACACTGCCTGAGCACGCTGGTCCCCCATTGACATGTGGCCTTCGAGACAATTACTGCACACCACGCCCTTGCAGTTGAAGCAGGAAAGAGTAACACAAGGTATTTTGATTGCACATGGAATATTTTCTCGCTTCTTCATCTCATTCTTTTTCTAAGAGCAATGCCTAGGTTTCATTCAAAGGTTCAGAAACCTAAACTTTAGTTTTCCTCATTATTCACCCCTTAGAAATGTGACCATTGTTTCCCTCTTGCTACGACCCCACTGCCCTGAGAGAAGACCGTGTGATGCGCGGGCACAAGCAGAGGCTTTGCCAGCAGGCAGGAGTGGGTCTGATGTCTGGCCCTGACTTTTACCACCCCTTTAATTTCAGAAAGCCATTCAGGGCCTTGCGCGGTGGCTGACACCCGTAATCCCAGCACTTTGGAAGGCCGAGGCGGGTGGATCATTTGAGGTCAGGAGTTTGAGACCAGCCTGACCAACACGGTGAAACCCCGTCTCTACTAAAATACAAAAAATTAGGCGGGTGTGGTGGCACACACTTGTAATCCCAGTACTCAGGAGGCTGAGGTGGGAGGATCGCTGGAGTCCAGGACACAGAGGTTGCAGTGAGCCAAAATCGGGCCATTGCACTCCAGCCTGGGCAACAGAGGGAGACCATGTCCCCCCCAAAAAAAGCCATTCGGCAATGAGGCCCTCATTGTTAGACAAGAATAATTAATGAGGTGTCATCGAGTTGTTGAAAAGACTACATGCAGTAAGTCTGTCTGGTGCTTCATGAGTACCTACTACATGGTAGCCATTGTTTTAATAAATAGGGAGGTGTTTCTATTAAAAACAGAACTTGGCCAGGGGCAGTGGCTCACACTTGTAATCCCAGAGCTTTGGGAGGCCAAGGTGGGTAGATTGCTTGAGCCCAGGAGTTTGAGACCAGCCTGGACAACATAGTGAGACCCTGTCTCTACAAAAAATTTAAAAAATTAGCTGGGCATGGTGATACATATCTATAGTCCTGGCTACTCAGGAGGTTGAGATGAGAGGAAAACTTGTGGCCAGGAGGTTGAGGCTGCAGTGAGCAGTGATTGCACCACTGCACTCTGGCCTGGGTGACAGAGGAGACTTTGTCTCAAAAACAACAACAACAACAACAAAAAAACAGGACTTAAGATGAGTCTTCAACCAGTCTCAGGGGACTGCAACTTTTCTGTGTAAACAATGCCTAACTGTGTAAGAATTGTCGTATAGAATTAATTGCCCATCCTCTTCCTCTGTCTCCACATCAAAGCATCTGAGATTTCTGCTTTACCCCCAATAAGACCGGTCCGCTGTCAGGTTCTCTCAAAATCTTCTTTCTTCAAATTTGAATTTCACATCATTATTTACTACTCCACCCTTTTCTAACATCTGCTAATTCTTCCTTTCAATTCCCCTACCTTTGCAGGGTAGTTTTTTTTCCCCCCAGGGAAATTCACATTCTCCTGTTAATAATTCATAAATGTTGCCAGACACAGATGAATGAAACCATTTCCCATTCATGTCCTGCTTTCCAGGGATGCTGTGAGAATTAGTTAGATGACATCTGCAATTCACAGCCCGCTCTAAGAGAAACATGATATATTCACATCACATTTAACAGAACATTCTTTCAATGCAAGGCAAATAACTGCTGCCATACGCCTGCTTCAAATGGGCCCAACCCCTGCCCCTGGGGACCTCTTATAAACCCGTCACCTGTAGCAGCTTAACTCTTCTTTAGGTGTGTACAATTCCACTGAACAGTAGTGAATTTCTGATTAGCAATATTGTCAAATGAGTGGTATTCTTTCCCCCAAATTTGAATCTAACAGGGTGCCCAGACACTTAGTCAAATGTCCCTGTCTCACTATTTCTACTCTACCCACCTCCTCCCTGCATTTCATGACAGGTGGAGATTTCCTTTCCTCTGGACAAAGAGACCGGTTCCATGGTGGACCCTGACTCATCCTTGAACTTTTCCAGCCGCTGCAGTATTTTCTTAGGCCTGATCACCACTTTCTGTTTTTATGGAATTTCAACCTTAGTATCAAACTCATGCCACAAAAATAGAATTTAGCTATAATAAGAAACTAGGGGCTCAGTGGGGTGGCTCACGCCTTTAATCCCAGTACTTTGGGAGGCCGAGGTGGGAGGATCACGAGGTCAGGGATTCAAGACCAGCCTGACCAACATGGTGAAACCCCATCTCTACTAAAAATACAAAAATTAGCTGGGTGTGGTGGTGCGCCTGTAATCCCAGCTACTCCGGAGGCTGAGGCAGGAGAATCACTTGACCCCGGGAGGCAGAGGTTGCAGTGAGCCGTGATCGCACCAGACTGGGTGACAGAGTAAGACTCTGTCTCAAAAAAAAAAAAAAAAAGAAAGAAGAAGAAAGAAAAAGAAACTAGGTGTCAGTGGCCATTATTCCTACCTGTGAAGACTTAAAACATAAATTTGATATTTGGATGAGACTGGCCTTTACCATAATATTAATAACATTTGTTCACAGAAAATGGCATAGCATTGACCACAGTTTGTAATTAGATAGTATGTGATTTTCTTTCTTTCTTTTTTTTTTTTTTCTTAACTATCTGCCTCTCTTGCATGCTATTGTACCTATAACTCTGGACTGAGAGGAAACACCTTCTAGAAACAGGCAGTGCCCAGAGAGAGAAGCACAGGTCCACGCAGGCAGCCAAAGCCATCTTCTTGGTTGAAAGATACTCTTTTCGGGGGGAGGAGCCAAGATGGCCGAGTAGGAACAGCTCCGGTCTACAGCTCCCAGCGTGAGCGACAAAGAAGACGGGTGATTTCTGCATTTGCATCTGAGGTACCCGGTTCATCTCACTAGGGAGTGCCAGACAGTGGGCGCAGGTCAGTGGGTGCGCGCACCGTGCGCAAGCCGAAGCAGGGCGAGGCATTGCCTCACCTGGGAAGCGCAAGGGGTCAGGGAGTTCCCTTTCTGAGTCAAAGAAAGGGGTGACGGACGGCACCTGGAAAATCGGGTCACTCCCACCCGAATACCGCGCTTTTCCGACGGGCTTAAAAAACGGCGCACTGTGAGATTATATCCCGCACCTGGCTCGGAGGGTCCTACGCCCACGGAGTCTCGCTGATTGCTAGCAGAGCAGTCTGAGATCAAACTGCAAGGCGGCAGCGAGGCTGGGGGAGGGGCACCCGCCATTGCCCAGGCTTGATTAGGTAAATAAAGCAGCCGGGAAGCTCCAACTGGGTGGAGCCCACCACAGCTCAAGGAGGCCTGCCTGCCTCTGTAGGCTCCACCTCTGGGGGCAGGACACAGACAAACAAAAAGACAGCAGTAACCTCTGCAGACTTAAATGTCCCTGTCTGACAGCTTTGAAGAGAGCAGTGGTTCTCCCAGCACGCAGCTGGAGATCTGAGAAGGGGCAGACTGCCTCCTTAAGTGGGTCCCTGACCCCTGACCCCCGAGCAGCCTAACTGGGAGGCACCCCCCAGCAGGGGCACACTGACACCTCACACAGCAGGGTACTCCAACAGACCTGCAGCTGAGGGTCCTCTCTGTTAGAAGGAAAACTAACAAACAGAAAGGACATCCACACCAAAAACCCATCTGTACATCACCATCATCAAAGACCAAAAGTAGATAAAAACCACAAAGATGGGGAAAAAACAGAACAGAAAAACTTGAAACTCTAAAAAGCAGAGCGCCTCTCCTCCTCCAAAGGAACGCAGTTCCTCACCAGCAACGGAACAAAGCTGGATGGAGAATGACTTTGACGAGCTGAGAGAAGAAGGCTTCAGACGATCAAATTACTCTGAGCTACGGGAGGACATTCAAACCAAAGGCAAAGAAGTTGAAAACTTTGAAAAAAATTTAGAAGAATGTATAACTAGAATAACCAATACAGAGAAGTGCTTAAAGGCGCTGATGGAGCTGAAAACCAAGGCTCGAGAACTACGTGAAGAATGCAGAAGCCTCAGGAGCCGATGCGATCAACTGGAAGAAAGGGTATCAGCGATGGAAGATGAAATGAATGAAATGAAGCGAGAAGGGAAGTCTAGAGAAAAAAGAATAAAAAGAAATGAGCAAAGCCTCCAAGAAATATGGGACTATGTGAAAAGACCAAATCTACGTCTGATTGGTGTACCTGAAAGTGATGCGGAGAATGGAACCAAGTTGGAAAACACTCTGCAGGATATTATCCAGGAGAACTTCCCCAATCTAGCAAGGCAGGCCAACGTTCAGATTCAGGAAATACAGAGAACGCCACAAAGATACTCCTCGAGAAGAGCAACTCCAAGACACATAATTGTCAGATTCACCAAAGTTGAAATGAAGGAAAAAATGTTAAGGGCAGCCAGAGAGAAAGGTCGGGTTACCCTCAAAGGGAAGCCCATGAGACTAACAGCGAATCTCTCGGCAGAAACCCTACAAGCCAGAAGAGAGTGGGGGCCAATATTCAACACTCTTAAAGAAAAGAATTTTCAACCCAGAATTTCATATCCAGCCAAACTAAGCTTCATAAGCGAAGGAGAAATAAAATACTTTACAGACAAGCAAATGCTGAGAGATTTTGTCACCACCAGACCTGCCTTACAAGAGCTCCTGAAGGAAGCACGAAACATGGAAAGGAACAACCGGTACCAGCTGCTGCAAAATTATGCCAAAATGTAAAGACCATCGAGACTAGGAAGAAACTCCATCAACTAACGAGCAAAATAACCAGCTAACATCATAATGACAGGATCAAATTCACACATAACAATATTAACTTTAAATGTAAATGGACTAAATGCTCCAATTAAAAGACACAGACTGGCAAATTGGATAAAGAGTCAAGACCCATCAGTGTGCTATATTCAGGAAACCCATCTCACGTGCAGAGACACACATAGGCTCAAAATAAAAGGATGGAGGAAGATCTACCAAGCCAATGGAAAACAAAAAAAGGCAGGGGTTGCAATCCTAGTCTCTGATGAAACAGACTTTAAACCAACAAAGATCAAAAGAGACAAAGAAGGCCATTACATAATGGTAAAGGGATCAATTCAACAAGAAGAGCTAACTATCCTAAATATATATGCACCCAATACAGGAGCACCAAGATTCATAAAGCAAGTCCTGAGTGACCTACAAAGAGACTTAGACTCCCAAACATTAATAATGGGAGACTTTAACACCCCACTGTCAACATTAGACAGATCAACGAGACAGAAAGTCAACAAGGATACCCAGGAATTGAACTCAGCTCTGCACCAAGCAGACCTAATAGACATCTACAGAACTCTCCACCCCAAATCAACAGAATATACATTTTTTTCAGCACCACACCACACCTATTCCAAAATTGACCACATACTGGGAAGTAAAGCTCTCCTCAGCAAATGTAAAAGAACAGAAATTATAGCAAACTATCTCTCAGACCACAGTGCAATCAAACTAGAACTCAGGATTAAGAATCTCACTCAAAACCGCTCAACTACATGGAAACTGAACAACCTGCTCCTGAATGACTACTGGGTACATAACGAAATGAAGGCAGAAATAAAGATGTTCTTTGAAACCAACGAGAACAAAGACACAACATACCAGAATCTCTGGGACGCATTCAAAGCAGTGTGTAGAGGGAAATTTATAGCACTAAGTGCCCACAAGAGAAAGCAGGAAAGATCCAAAATTGACACCCTAACATCACAATTGAAAGAACTAGAAAAGCAAGAGCAAACACATTCAAAAGCTAGCAGAAGGCAAGAAATAACTAAAATCAGAGCAGAACTGAAGGAAATAGAGACACAAAAAACCCTTCAAAAAATTAATGAATCCAGGAGCTGGTTTTTTGAAAGGATCAACAAAATTGATAGACCACTAGCAAGACTAATAAAGAAAAAAAGAGAGAAGAATCAAATAGATGCAATAAAAAATGATAAAGGGGATATCACCATCGATCCCACAGAAATACAAACTACCATCAGGGAATACTACAAACACCTCTACGCAAATAAACTAGAAAATCTAGAAGAAATGGATAAATTCCTGGACACATACACTCTCCCAAGACTAAACCAGGAAGAAGTTAAATCTCTGAATAGACCAATAACAGGAGCTGAAATTGTGGCAATAATCAATAGCTTAGCAATCAAAAAGAGTCCAGGACCAGATGGATTCACAGCCGAATTCTACCAGCGGTACAAGGAGGAACTGGTACCATTCCTTCTGAAACTATTCCAATCAATAGAAAAAGAGGGAATCCTCCCTAACTCATTTTATGAGGCCAGCATCATTCTGATACCAAAGCCAGGCAGAGACACAACAAAAAAAGAGAATTTTAGACCAATATCCTTGATGAACATTGATGCAAAAATCCTCAATAAAATACTGGCAAACCGAATCCAGCAGCACATCAAAAAGCTTATCCACCATGATCAAGTGGGCTTCATCCCTGGGATGCAAGGCTGGTTCAATATACACAAATCAATAAATGTAATCCAACATATAAACAGAGCCAGAGACAAAAACCACATGATTATCTCAATAGATGCAGAAAAAGCATTTGACAAAATTCAACAACCCTTCATGCTAAAAACTCTCAATAAATTAGGTATTGATGGGACGTATCTCAAAATAATAAGAGCTATCTATGACAAACCCACAGCCAATATCATACTGAATGGGCAAAAACTGGAAGCATTCCCTTTGAAAACTGGCACAAGACAGGGATGCCCTCTCTCACCACTCCTATTCAACATAGTGTTGGAAGTTCTGGCCAGGGCAATTAGGCAGGAGAAGGAAATAAAGGGTATTCAATTAGGAAAAGAGGAAGTCAAATTGTCCCTGTTTGCAGACGACATGATTGTATATCTAGAAAACCCCATTGTCTCAGCCCAAAATCTCCTTAAGCTGATAAGCAACTTCAGCAAAGTCTCAGGATACAAAATCAATGTACAAAAATCACAAGCATTCTTATACACCAACAACAGACAAACAGAGAGCCAAATCATGAGTGAACTCCCATTCACAATTGCTTCAAAGAGAATAAAATACCTAGGAATCCAACTTACAAGGGATGTGAAGGACCTCTTCAAGGAGAACTACAAACCACTGCTCAAGGAAATAAAAGAGGATACAAACAAATGGAAGAACATGCCATGCTCATGGGTAGGAAGAATCAATATCGTGAAAATGGCCATACTGCCCAAGGTAATTTACAGATTCAATGCCATCCCCATCAAGCTACCAATGGCTTTCTTCACAGAATTGGAAAAAACTACTTTAAAGTTCATATGGAACCAAAAAAGAGCCGGCATCGCCAAGTCAATCCTAAGTCAAAAGAACAAAGCTGGAGGCATCACACTACCTAACTTCGAACTATACTACAAGGCTACAGTAACCAAAACAGCATGGTACTGGTACCAAAACAGATATATAGACCAATGGAACAGAACAGAGCCCTCAGAAATAACACCGCATATCTACAACTATCTGATCTTTGACAAACCTGGGAAAAACAAGCAATGGGGAAAGGATTCCCTATTTAATAAATGGTGCTGGGAAAACTGGCTAGCCATATGTAGAAAGCTGCAACTGGATCCCTTCCTTACACCTTATACAAAAATCAATTCAAGATGGATTAAAGACTTAAACGTTAGACCTAAAACCATAAAAACCCTAGAAGAAGACCTAGGCATTACCATTCAGGACATAGGCATGGGCAAGGACTTCATGTCTAAAACACCAAAAGCAATGGCAACAAAAGACAAAATTGACAAATGGGATCTAATTAAACTCAAGAGCTTCTGCACAGCAAAAGAAACCACCATCAGAGTGAACAGGCAACCTACAAAATGGGAGAAAATTTTCGCAACCTACTCATTTGACAAAGGGCTAATATCCAGAATCTACAATGAACTCCAACAAATTTACAAGAAAAAAACAAACAACCCCATCAAAAAGTGGGCGAAGGACATGAACAGACACTTCTCAAAAGAAGACATTTATGCAGCCAAAAAACACATGAAAAAATACTCATCATCACTGGCCATTAGAGAAATGCAAATCAAAACCACAATGAGATACCATCTCACACCCGTTAGAATGGCAACCATTAAAAACTCAGGAAACAACAGGTGCTGGAGAGGATGTGGAGAAATAGGAACACTTTTACACTGTTGGTGGGACTGTAAACTAGTTCAACCATTGTGGAAGTCAGTGTGGCGATTCCTCAGGGATCTAGAACTGGAAATACCATTTGACCCAGCCATCCCATTACTAGATATATACCCAAAGGACTATAAATCATGCTGCTATAAAGACACATGCACCCGTATGTTTATTGCGGCATTATTCACAATAGCAAAGACTTGGAACCAACCCAAATGTCCAACAATGATAGACTGGATTAAGAAAATGTGGCACATATACACCATGGAATACTATGCAGCCATAAAAAAGGATGAGTTCATGTCCTTTGTAGGGACATGGATGAAATTGGAAATCATTATTCTCAGTAAACTATCCCAAGAACAAAAAACCAAACACCGCATATTCTCACTCATAGGTGGGAACTGAACAATGAGATCACATGGACACAGGAAGGGGAATATCACACTCTGGGGACTGTTGTGGGGTGGTAGGAGGGGGGAGGGATAGCATCGGGAGATATACCTAATGCTAGATGACGAGTTAGTGGGTGCAGCGCACCAGCATGGCACATGTATACATATGTAACTAACCTGCACAATGTGCACATGTACCCTAAAACTTAAAAGTATAATAAAAAATAATAATAAAAAAAAAACAAAAGAAAACAAAAAAAAAAGAAAGATACCCTTTTCTTCCAACTTAAATAAAAGGCATAACTAGTTTAAGCAAGGCTATTGGCAGGAATGCATCACCAGCTCAAAGGGCAGGTTTTGATGCCAGCCCCAGGACTCAGTAGCTGAAAGTTCCACATCCCACACACACAACCAGGCAGAGAGAGGCTTCCCTTCCAGGAAAATGGCATTTCGGTGTCAGTCCCTGCATATTATGTCCGTTAATCTCTTTCCTTCTTTTTTCTGCTCTTTTACCCTCTTTCCTGACATGGCAAGTGGTGCCAATCTTTCTTTTTTCTGTTTTTCTTCTTTTTTTTTTTTTTTTTTTTTTGAGACACAGTCTGCAGTGACTGGATCTCTGCTCATTATAGCCTCAACCTCCCCAGGTGCAAGTGATCCTCCCACCTCAGCACCCCCTGCCCCCACACCGAGTAGCTGGGACTATAGGCATGCACAACCACGCCTGGCTAATTTTCGTATTTTTTGTAGAGATTGGGTTTCCCCATGTTGCCCAGGCTGGTCTCGAACTCCTGAGCTCAAGCGATCTGCCCTCCTCGGCCTCCCAAAGTGCTGGGGTTACAGGCATGAACCACCGGGCTGGCCATCTTTTTTTCTCTTGTGTCAGTCTTGTTCTTTGATGGAAAAGATGAGAGGGATTGGAGGGGCCTTGAATGACAGCCTCATTTGGTGCATTCTCACAGGTCACAGTTCAGGCAACTCTAGGAAGTGAAACATTCTGAGAACTCTTCCCAAGGAGATATGCTTTATTTTGTTTTCCCCTGTAAGTCTCCTTGACTTATTTGCTGTCAGGAAATTTGAACTCTTGATATTATAAATATGGGGAAAAATTTCTGTTTTGTTTTATTTTGTTTGTTTTTATTCTGGGCCCACTACACAATCTCTTAGCAGGTCATTGTGTTTTTATAAGGAAAACCTAAGCCTTTGTCTGGCGATCCTTCTCTCTGTTCCTGTGCAAGAAGGAGGGGCCAGAAGTTTTCTGGCCCCAGCAGGAGGCGTGGCAGGCCGAGCAACAAGTCACTATGGCGGACACATGGCGACTGCAGAGAGGCTGTCAGTGGAGCTATCTGGGCAAGCCCTGAAGGAATTCCAAAAGGGCCCTTTATCTCCAAAACAGTTTAAGGTGTTGATTTTGTTTCCTTCAAAGCGTGACAGTGTGGGCAAGCTTTCCTCAATAAAGCCATCAGAGCAGGCGGGAGGAATCCAATTCTCTTGATGAGATTAGAAATGTGATTCTCAAGACTGTGGGGCAGGAAGAGGGACTTTTTCAAGCTACAAGTTGGCCAGAATCACCCAGAATCACTGCCCTTGAGGAGAAATGTCACTGATGGGAATACGTTACATACATGATGGTGAGGAGGTAAAAAAGAAGTGTTGGGAACCATTAGAATCTGCAGTGTGTGCATGTGTGTCTGTGTGTGTGTGTGTCTGTGTGTGTATGTGTGTTTGGCCCATGAGAAAGATTATTCCCAGCCCTCAGACTTTCCTAAAGTATGAACAACGTTAAGAGATCCAACTTTTGATTTGGATTTGAGATTTTCGATTTAATGTGACATATTAATGAAAGCAATGTGTGGTATTTCACATCACAGTTTTCTTCAGAGTACTGCAAGATTCAGTCCTAGATAAGTCAGGAGGATACCCAGGAAGCTGAAAGAAAAAGGGACCAAAGATCAAAATGGGGGAGAAACAAAAGGACACTACTCCCAAATAAGTTATTTAAGTTTGTGAGACAAACAATACTATTTGGGGGAAGTATTAAAAGCCCTGCAAAGGCCTACACTCTATGAAGGCAAAATGGCTGCCTTCACTCTGCTGGCCTTCATGGCACTGGAAGAAAGTCCAGCATGAGTGGAAGTTTCTGGAACCCCTCATGGAGCTGGGGGTAGGGGGAGTGTGCTGGGTCCATGGGCACTGGGTCACTGACCACAATTCTGACCTGGTGCCTAACTGTCAAGCTATTTTATGGCATAGCGGCATTGGATACACATTTGGGTGTAGCTAAGTTGTATTTGTCATGAATATTCATTCAAGTGAATAGAGAAGCATTCCATAGATTGAGCTTTACACCTTAGTGAGGATCGATAATATTGGTTTGATTTTAAAAGAACACATTCTCTTATTTAAATTTTTTCTATGTGGTTTCTAAAAGGTCAAGTGTGTTTTTCATAAAGGTGAGAATATATTCCTAAGCAAAATGAAAAAAAGTTGGAGTATAAATATGAAATCCTTAAAATCTAAGTATATGGATTATAAGATTCCACAGAAAATTTAAGGTGAAGGGGGGCCACTTTTTATTGGATGCTTGCTATATGCCAGACCAAGTGCTTTACAAATATTGTTGATGAATGAATGAATGAATGATCCTACATGATATTTACTAATATTTCTATTTTACCAATGAGGAAACTGAGGCTGTTGGAGTTTGTAAGAAGTCACCCCATCTGATAGATGTCAGAAATAGAATTCAAACCCAAATATTTCTGACTCTGATTTATGTAATGTAGGAGAGATTTAGAATAGAGTGCTGGAAAGAATCACATTTAATAAACTCCCCCCACTGTCTTGGGCCAGTTGATGAAGACAGCTTTTATTTTTCTCCTTGGAGTCCCTAACTTCCCCCACTGAGTGCCAATCTCCTCATTTCATTTTCTCACGTTACTCATCTCTTTTATCCACTCGATTCTGGTTGAAATTAGTGGAATCTTCATGCTGAAGAGCTTCTAATGACATAGAGAACAGGGAATACTAACCCAATGTTCTGATCTTTTTTAAAAGCCCAGACAGAAAATAATATTGGCCCCAGCGGTCAAAACCCAGACAACTCTAGTTTTGATGGGATAGCTCCCAAAAAGTTCAGATGCTTCCCTGAACTCATCCAAACCTTGGGCGGTCTCCTGCTTTTCCGGAGGGAACATGCTTGGTGAATGATGCACCAAGTTGAAACACATGGAGAATGCCCTCCGTGGGGACTCTTGGGTCTTGTATGAGGTTAAGTCCCAATTGCACATCAAGCTGCCGTGGTATTTCTCCTCTGCAAGCAGACTTTGTCCTGTTGAAAATGGAATCTCAACCACACAAAAAGCACTGGAAGTTACATTAGTGAAGTCATCAACCATGTATGCACGGTCTTCGTTTTATGCATCTACCTTGCATCAGATGCTAGCCTACACACGTCACCTGTGTTATTTCATTTACTCTTTGCAACAAAACTGCCAGGTGGTTGTTATCTTTACTTAACAAATGAGGAAACCAAGGCCTGGGTTGATCAAGTAATGTACTCAAAGTCACATGACTTGAAGGTGGCAGTAGGGATTTAAGCCAACTCTGTTCATCTTCAAAAAGTGTGTTTCTAATCACGTCACAGCGTCTCCTGACCAGTCCAGAAAGACACCAGCAAATATTAACATCTGGGAGTGAATTTGTACCCTAGCTTTATTTCCAATTGATGACATCTTTTCTTGTTTACTTCTTAAAGCAGGGATAGAAGCAGTGGAGCTGGCAAGCACCCCTGGTTCACATGTAGCAAACATGGGTGACGTGGCCAGGCTGCTGGACAGAGGTTATTGGTTCAGGCCAAGTGATGGGAGTTAATAAGCTCCAAGGAAAAGTAAACCCTCAGCTGACTGGAACCTCTGAGAACCCTATCAGAAAAAAAATTTGACAAGATAGACTAGGATTAAAATTCATGGATGGCTTTAGAACTCAGAAATAAATCAGGAAGAAAAAAAATATATGTGCAAGCCAATTCCATAAATACTAGAACCTCGTAGAATCATTAAAAGTCCCCATAACTTGGGCCTGAGTGCAACTGTGGTCCCTTCACTGTAGTAATTTAAACTCGACTGTTTATTTTGGCTTCTGCCTTCTCAATGACTTGTTCTAATCGAAATGCTTTGATGAGATGCACAAAAGGAATAAAAATATGATTGAAAAGCCAGAGAGTAATATCTTGGTTTAAAACAACTGTGAACACAAACTTTAATCTTTGGCATTGCCATAAGGGCTATCTTAGACTAACTGGGGCAAACACTTTTAGGATCTTGTTTGGAAAAACATTTTTGGTTTTAGAGTGGGTGTCCATGTATCATAACACAACACTTACAAAACATAATTTTTTAAAAAAGCCTCTTATTCTGCCTACAATCCATGTGCTTTTGACATCATAAGCTCCATTTCTTGAAGGCTTCTATAAAAATCCATGGCTTATGGAAGGTAAAGGCAACATTATGCTGAGTTCAAGCAATATTTGTGGGACTTGGGTTCCACTTTTTCTATAAAGAGCCAATGTGTTTTTCTCCTGTTTTACCTGAAGCACCTATGTGGATCTGCATGTCTTTAGTCATCTTGGTGGGGTGCTTACCTGAATTAGATATTATCTTCTGGAAGTCAATAGGAATAATAAATAATAAATGTTAATATTTTTTAAGTCAGATATTCTCAAGAAGAACTGGATTCAAAGCCTGGCCAAGCTAGTTGACCACCTGTGAGGCCATGGACAAGTTCCTTATATCTCAAATCACTAATTTTCTTACCTACAAATTGGTGGTAGTAATGCATTGGTTTGTACAAAGGATTCAATGAGTTAATATATGTTGTATTAGTTTGCTACTGCTGCCATAACAAAGTACCACAGACTGGGTGGCTTAAAAAACAAAATTCCCTTTTCTCATGGTTCTGGAGGCTGGAATCTGAGATCAAAGTGTTGGCAGGATTGGTTTCTTCTGAGGCCTCTCTCCTTGGCTTGTAGACAGCCGCCTTCTCCCTGTGTTTTCTTATGGTCTCCTCTCTGCGTGTATGTGTGTCCTAATCTTCTCTTCATATAGGGAAACCAAGCATATTTGGATTCAGACCCACCCATACGACTTCATTTTACCTTAATTACCTCTTTAAATAAAGTCACATTCTGAGGTACTAGGCATTAGGACTTCAACATAGGAATTTTGGGAAGGGACACAACATATGAATCTTGGGAATTCATCCCATAGCCTATAAGAAATACCTAGAACATGCTATACTTTTAGTAAATGCTGAGTCCCTTCTCTTCTCCACTTCCAAGGTTTAGTGTCAATAAGATATGAAGCATGTACACAGGCTCTTTGAATTTTTCAGGTTCCTTGACAAAGGTACTAAATTGCAGGATAATCCCATTAAAATGGGATGTCCATTGTTGCTCACACAAGGGCCAGCAGTTTAAAAATGGAGGCAAACTCGGCTGGGTGTGGTGGCTCACACCTGTAATCCCAGCACTTTGGGAGGCCAAGGTGGGTGGATCATGAGGTCAGGAGATTGAGACCATCCTGGCTATGGTGAAACCCCATCTCTACTAAAAATACAAAAAATTAGCTGGGCATGGTGGCGGGCGCCTGTAGTACCAGCTACTCGGGAGGCTGAGGCAGGAGAATGGTGTGAACCCGGGAGATGGAGCTTGCAGTGAGCCAAGATGGCGCCACTGCACTCCAGCCTGGGCGACAGAGCGAGACTGTGTCTCAAAAAATAAATAAATAATTGAGGCAAACTCATCTTCACTTTACACCTCAAAAAGTGTAAGTCAAAATATAAAGAGGAAATTTTTAACTCCAGACCTCTCAGATCTCATTGATTTTTCTCTTGTTCAAAGGCAAGCAAAAAAAGTATTGAGCAATACACACAACAATGATGACAACTACAATGACGTGACAAGGGTGATCGTAGCAGCTAACATTTACTGAGGACAAACACAGTCCTTTTTGCCTTTTAAAGGAAAGTCCTTTAAGTGCATTCTCCCATTTGATCTATCAACAACTCTACAAATGGTAGCTGTGTGTGCTTTAAAACAAGCTGAAAATTTTTTTAGAAAAAAAACACACATTGGGAATTTCTACATGTAAGAAAGGATAAAATCAGTCTTGATTTCATGAGAGGACTCACCAGTTCAGATTATTATTGTCACTCTAAATGTAGTTTTGCTGACATAAATACTATCTGGGTACCCTAGGGGCTGCTGACATCCACATTTGGAATTGTTGCATCTTCCGGAACAGAGATTCCTTGGTAGGTGTCAATTGATCTAGAGAGCTTGGAGGGGGCCTGCTTACAAGTCCTTCTCTACCTAGCACACTGCTCTGCATACCATGAAGATATAATAAGTATTTATAGAGTGAATGCTGCACCTTCCCCTCCAGACTCTGAGTTCCCTTCTCCCTTTAGGGTCATCACAGCCAGCAGCTCCGATGGACTCATAGATTAAACCCCTCCTATGGCCAATCAAAGACCCCCAAGAACACACTGTTGAAGATGAGAGGGCCCACCACTTGGGCCCTTGGTAATTTACTCTCAAATGCTCGGGGATTTTGAGCAAGAATCTTAGTCACGTGAACATATCTGTAAAACAGTTGTTGGGAAGGCAGAAAGACCAAATGTTGAAATTCTAAAGTTTTTACTTAATGACACTTCTACATACCCTTTCCAGGAGGGACCGATGTGGCAGCTTCCACTGATAATAATGGAAACGCACATTTTGAGACGTTGCAAGTCATGGACATGCCCAGGCCATGGTGCTGCCTGTTGGACGGTGCTTTGCTTGTTTCTGTCTGAAGAGGCTGGTTGCCTTTTTCTCATTCAGCTCAATGCAAACACCCATCAAGAAGGGTCAAGTGGGCATTGCTTTCAGAGTCTCCTTCAGGCTTGAACAAAGGCTTTGGAGACAGACAGGCATGCAGGGGTGCACACAGAGAGCTGCCCTCTGGCACTTCACTCTCTGGACATGCTCAGGCCTGTGGGCAGGGCCTTGAGTTTCTGGCCTGCCGTCAACTCCATTGAGCAGCGGCCTTGGCTGGGTCATACACAGCATTTTTTTCTGTCTGAAGGATGACCTGGTTAGCAAAGGACAAATACTAGCACTCCCAAAAAATAATTAAGTCTTTGGACCCTTTTCTGCAAACACAAATCTGTGTGAGGTTTTCTGGAGCAAATGCTGTAGGCTACATTCCAAAGGCCAAGAAGAAAAATACCACGCTGGTCAGTCACCCATGCTGTCTCCATAAATAGCACCATGCATTTCTGAAGCAATGAGCGATGTTAGACAATCCTCTTTATGGTACCAGTGGGACAGTGGCTTTAAGGGCCATGGATATGACAAAGAAAACAAGGGATGGACAGAGGGCGAAATCAGTCAGATCACAGTATGTTGGTTAAGTCACTTAATTACGCTGGAGCTCCATTATTCTCCGTTTTAAAGTTAGGCTGGCTCAGTGTGGTGGCTCACACCTGTAATCCCAGCACTTTGGGAGGCCAAGGCAGGAGGATCTCTTGAGCCCAGGAGTTCGAGACCAGCCTGGACAACAAAGTGAGAACCTGCCTCTACAAAAAATTTATTTTAAATAGCTGAGTGTGGTGGTGTGCACCTGTGGTCCCAGCTATTTGGGAGGCTAATGTGGGAGGATCGCTTGAGCCCAGGAAGTTGAGGGTGCAGTGAGCCATGATTGTGCCACTGCAACCCAGGCTGGGTGATACAGTGAGACCATGTCTCAACAAATAAAATAAAAAGGTTCAGCTGATACTGATAACTCTGTTCCATAAGGTAGTCCACTTAACCAGAGCCCATTTATCGAGAGCCTGCCATGTGCAGAGTCCTGCATAAAGGCTGGTGGTGAGATTGAATAGAATCGTGTAGTGAAGACACAGCCAAGCTGCTGCCTCATCAAAGGCTCTCCCTAAACGTTGGGTGACTGTGGGAAGTGGTTGGGGAAAGAGGACACATTAGGCCTGGGTTCTTTTAAAATGTGGATATTCGTTCAGGTTCTTTAAATAGTTATTGAAACTATTAAAAATTACTTTCTTCCACAGGAATAATGATTGAGCACCAGAAACAGACAAGCGAGGTCCTGGGAATAGAGCATAAACACAGGAAAAGCAAACTCCATTCTGGCTTGGGGGGACCTTGACTAAGCTTTGACAAATGTGCACAGACTCCCAAGAGGATCCAAGCCTTCAAATCCAGGTTCAAACAGGTAAAGAGTGGAGGGGCAAGGTGCCAGTTAAGTTGGGGGAAAGGCGATGAAAGGGGCAGATTAATATATTACAAGGAAAACTATAGGAGAATTCCTGGGAACAAACTAGCAGACATGTTTATCCTGCAAGAAGCCTGGGTGATTTGAGCGTTTGGCTGGAGGGAGGGGAAGAAGGAGCTAGCATTAATCATGCTCCCAAATTCAACTCCAGCATCTAACGAAATAGACAATAACTGGTTTCGCCACTCCTGTTCCTCACATCCCCTGGGGTCAAGGCCTGGCTGGAATTCAAACAGGATTTCAGATCGGGCCTGGAAAGTTGTGTACATTTAAGTTCATTCTGGAAGGCATGCTTGATATAGAAATGGATTTTTCTTGGTCTAATTTTGAGAGGATCTGAACTTAGTGAGAGTAAGTGGGTGCTTTAAATAATCTCCTACTCTTTTTTTCTTAAGAGGAGAATTTATCGCAGAGACTGGCCAATGGCACTGACCACACCTATTTCAAGTCCTAGCTTGGAACATAGATTTTTTGTGTTTTTAATGGAAAAATAGAAGTCCTTGTAAACTACCATTTACCTTTCATTTGCCTCTTCCTCATGTTGTGTGATTTCTTTTGGCATCATAGTGCTCCCCTAAAGGGTCCACCAAGGTGAACTTGGCTAGGCAGTGCTTCAAACACCCCATCGGTGGAGATTAAGGATGACAGGTCAAAACCAATGCCACTCTTGGGCTGCCTGGCATGCACCTAGGAAATCAGGCACACCCATGCTGAAATAAGGAATCGACTTTGCTCAGGAAGAGTCATCTATGCATTTCTTCTTTCGGTGATATATGTAGTAGGGGTCAAGGGTGGGGACCGAATTTGGAGAGAGCAGGAGAGAAGGGCTGGAGGGGTGGATGAGATGGCAGACAGGGGAAGTAAACTAAGGGTAAACCAGAACATCCCATGACACCAGTTATGAGGAGACTCGCTAGTGCTGAAGTTTCTGCTGTGCCAAAGACGCCTGTTTCAGGATGAGTCCAATTTTAGCCCAGGAGAAATAAATCAACTATAGGGCAAAAGGTTTAATGAGTAAAATGTATCATTCCAAAAATGTGATGCAGTCCACATCCAAAGTTTCTAGGTCAAATAACATGAGGAACTAATGCAGAAAAAGAAAGCAGCTGCCTGGGCGTGGTGGCACGGGTCCCAGCACCAGGTCCTCACACCACATCCTTGTACCACATCCTCCCAACCTCCTACCACTGGGGTCCTGCCCAGCCAGGAGGCAATGGGAGGGAAACCCAGCCTTGCAATTCTTTAATTTTGGGGAAAGTGAGGTGGGGAGTTTCTGACTTGTATATCCTTTAATTAAAGGGAATCTGACCTCTTCTATGATGATAATAATAATAAAATGTCTCAGAAGAGAATGGGAGCGTGCAAGAGAGTTATGCATTATGCACAAGACAGCAGGGCTTGGAACAGTAAAATCTTGTTTGCTCACGCGGCTCTGAGTAACCTAAGGGGGAAAAAACTCAGAACATTATTGATTAGATGCCAATTCACATGGCTCTCTTTGTCTGCTTTTTATTATCAGTATTTCTTTAAAAGGTTAATAGATCCTGGTCCTGACAAGCGTGAAGCCAGGAGGTGGGCTCTTATCCAGTGTTTTCATTCTTCAGCCCTCAAGAGACAATGATTAGATCTTAATATTGAATGCACAAACCACACTCACTGTGTGAACTTTCTGAGAGAGCTCCCCACCTAAAGACAGAAGAAGTGAAGAAGTTTTATTGGAAGGATTGTCAAAGGCGGGGGGCGGGGAACACTTTGAGTCTCTTTGAGCCAGTTGATTAGGGGTGAGTTGATTTTCTTATGAACACTCTAAATCTACTCTCCCTGGGGGCAGGGAAACCTGAGAAGCTTGGATTTCAATGATTTAATTCCCCTTCTAAGAATAGCCAAAACTGGGGTGGAGAGAAGCTAATGAAGTCAACCACAGAAAGAACATTTGCAAATTGAGCAAAGCCCTGTGAATCTTAGGTAATAGCTGGGAGCCGAGTTTCTTTCTTCCACATCTCATAAACTACAAAATAACTCAGCAAAACATGTCAACCAATGGATGCTCTCCACAGGTTACATGATCTAAAGCTGAGATACAAGAAGCCAAACACAATTAAAATGTGCTTCCATTGGTAGGTTCATGGTGATGCTTTGCAGAGGTATCACCTAACCTACCAAGCTTTGGACATGCTTTATTCATTACAACACTGTCAAGATTAAGTTGCCACGACTTCATATCCCAGTTCATGAATTGCATCTACATACACCATATAATGAGCCTCACCAGTGTACGGAATGTGGACAGGTCTTCCCTTAATGCTGGGATTAATTAGTTAGTCTCTGGATGTGCCTTTGAGGTTTAGCGATTCACTTCACTCCCCAGTGCAGTGAATCCAAAAAGTACAAGATCCTTTCTCCAAGGAGGAGATGCAAATTCACAGATAGCCTGAAGCCTAACCTTGGGTTAGCCCCTGAGATCGACCCAGTTCCTTCTTACAGCAGGATCTCCTTGTGATGGCTTGGCAGGATTGACTGAGCTAGTGCTTCCTTCCAATGTTTGATTGGTTAAATAAAGATATCTTTTAATGTTTATATAATAGCATTCAGAACATAGTCTCCAGGGTAACTAGTGAGTAGAAATGGCAACATGTATGAGTCGGAATATTAAAAAGGAAATACACAAATCAGTCTTTCATTTCAAGGTTACATTTGATGTTGCATATCAATATCATTTTACATTTGAGGGTGAGCCCACCCTATGTTCCCTGTGAGCTGTGAGCAAGAGACAATAATCACACCCAATCCCAGTGGAGGCTACAGGTGAGGGGGAGGAGCAAAAACCATATAAACCGGTCTTTTCCATTCTGTTAGGAATAAGATGACATGAACAGCTTTTCCTGCCACAGTATCTCACCAACAGATTAGTTTTTAAAGGGAGGTTAAATCTGTTTGAACCTTGGCAAATTTGTTACTATAACCGTAGCATAGTTGTACGTGAAAACCAAATATTATTGTCCTTTATTATTCTGCTTTGTCTCCCATGTTTTTCCCATGGCTCTTAAAACAAAAGTGCTCAGCCAGGTTCTCACCCTTTGTCACTGAATGGAATGCATATTTTTGAAGGCTGATATACAGCTTAAAAAGGCAGCCGAATTTATATGTGATTTGAATAGTTGGCACCGTCATGCCAACTACTAGCGCTATCTATTCAAAAGGCAGCATCATTTTTCCTAAGGCCTTTCCTATGGTCTGTTTTCTAGGGCAAGTTGTCTCTCCATGGTGTCTGCTGCCTTCTCATACTCTTGGCTGACTTATATTCATTCCCTGGACACTCGGGAACACACTCCCAGAGCAGCCAGATTCAGAGTCAGTTTGTCCTTCATAGATAGGCAGTAAAACATTCCAATGTAGTTCCTCTGAGAGGGCTAGAATCGCTCGAGTTCTCTCCTGCTAGTTTGTCAAAAAAACTCCTGGGTGGACGTTTAACACCAGCAACAGTGCCAAAAATGGAATAGTTTCTCGTAGGAATTATATATGCTTATTCTTAAGGCCATGTAAGTAGACCCAATGAAGGCCTACTATCTTCTTCTTGGACATCACCACGGGATGGTGTGTGTGTGTATGTGTGTGAGTGTGAGTGTGTGTGTGACAGAGAGAGAGACACAAAGAGAGAAAACATAGGAATGCCAGATCCTCTCTTGTCTAATGGACAGTTTTTCAAAAGGAGCAGTGAGAATTCCTGGGGATTCACCGGTCAGTCTCTTCCAGTGTTTATCATCTCACATTACTCTCAGAAGTAACTTGTTAAGAGTAACTCATCTAAGAACAGAAGTTAGTTATACCGAGAAAAATATTCTAGACCTTGATGCCTTTCGTTTTTAATTTCCTTGTGCGTTTTACTTCCCCCAGAGTAGATAAACCGGGGGTGTTCACTAACTGAAGTCAGAAACCTCTCAACTCAAAATGTCTGGGAAGTCCTGTGTTCTGTTAGTTCCAATATACACGCATCAGCCATAAGGGATGTCTAAATAGTGCAAGACAATAAAATCCCTTCATGTTTTCTGTTTTAGGGAAATCCTGCATGGTTGCACTAGGGTCATAAAAAATTACTAATGTGTTTTCTCATGGCGCCGGGCCATCACATGGGCCCTGTGCAGTGGTATTGTATGCGGCCTGTAATCACAAACAAATGTATTCCACAAGCAGATGAGCTGTTATATGAGAAAGTGTGAGAGGTTAGAGCTTGAGCCTTCGTGTCAGCTACGAAGCAGGTCCGCCACAGTGGAAGACCCCTGAGGCCATGCAAATGAAAATGGCAGTTCCTGGGGGGGGGGTGGGGGTGGGAGGAGGACGCCAAGAGGGATGAGGTCACTGCAATAAACATCCAGCTTCCCTCTGAATGGGAAACTAGAAAAGCCTTCAACTATGGCACTACGTGGACTAGGAAAGGAGGTAGAATTTGTGGGTCAGGTGGGGCAAAAAGTGGAAATCCCCGTAGAGAGGAGACAAGTGACATCAGCGGGTGTCCCAGAAGGAGGGGTAGCTGAACAGGGAGCCAGCAGGCCTGGAGGCAGCCTCTATCAGTGAGGGAGATGGGCTGTCTGCTTCTGCCAACACTCCTGTGAGATGTCTAGCGTGAGGGGACACACAAGGGGGCAAGTTGTCAGTATGACACCCAGGCTTGCCATCACTGCAGGCCTCACTTGGAAGGACATTTATAATACTTTCCAGGACCAAGCATCATTCTGTCCAGGCAAAAAGAAATTCCATTAAAAAGTTGATGTATTTTGTCTTTGCCCCCGAAAAGGAATGTTCAAGCTATAAACAGTGACATTTCTTCATGTGAGTTCCTGTAAAAAAAAAAAAAAAAAGAAAGAAAGAAAGAAAGAAAAAAAAAAAGGGAATGCTTTCCAGAATTCTTAGAGGTAGAAAACTACTCCATACAAGCAATACGGCCAAATCCAAAATGCATTTACACAGAAGCAGTGTTGCAGAGTAGAAATGCACAGATTAAAAGCCTTCGCTCTCCTGCTCCCTGACTGATTTTGAGCAAGTTACTTATGGTTCCCAAACCCCAGCTTCCTTCTCAGGAAACAAGGGTAGTAATATCTGCCTTAAGGATTGTTGTAAAAATAAATCTCACAATTTAATTGCCACCCTTATGCCAACAACTTCTAGGTATTTTTCTCTCTGCTCACATTTCTCTCCTGAGCTCTGGATCCATAGACTCTCTCCCATGATTCTCAGGCTCTTCCAATCAAATGTCCAAAACCAGAATCATCTTTGCTTCCTCCAGCCTCACAGATCTGTTTTCTACTCAGCTAAGGTGCCACATGCATCGCCAGAAAACTTAGGCATCTCCCTAATATCTTCTTCTCCAACACCACTCTCACCTCAAATAAATCGCCAAATCCTTTTGATTGCAACTCTTTCAAATTTTCTAGCTGTCTCCATCCCTAGATCAGGTGCCATCATTTCCTCCTAGATCATCGCAGCAGTCTCTTTGCCTCTCACCTTGGCTTCTCCTCCCAGCCTATTCTCCACACTCCCTCCAGAAAGATCTTTGGCAAGAGCGAGTGGGCTTGGTCCTCTCCCCAGCTTAAATGGCTTCCCAGTGCCCTCAGGGTATTTCTTACCCTGGCTTGCCAAGCTCTTGTCAGTTCCTTTCTTACCACTCTACCTCCTATCTTTAGTCTCCACAGCTCCTGGCACTTTAGTTCCCTTTAGCCACGTCGGACTTTCTTGACTTGCTCTTATCTTCGGTTCTTTGCAGAGGTTGTTCTCTCTGCCTGAAATTGGCTTTTTTCCTGCTGTCTCCTCTCCTCTTATCTGACTAATTGCTACTCATGCTTCAGGTCCAAATTTAGATATCACCCCTCCAGAGCCTTTGTGCCCACAAGGCTGAATAGGGGTCCCTCTTATGTCCTGCCACGATACCTTGTATTCTCCCTATCATAAGCACATGGATGTCATCGTACTGGGCTTGCCCATGGACCTGCCAGTCTCTTCCAATTGAGAGCACACTCTTTGAGGACAAGGGTTGGCAGCAATGTATCTTCAGTGACATGTGCCAGACCACTCAATAATCATGTGGGAAGGGAGGGAGAGAGGGTGGGAGAAAGGAATAACATGACATGTTAAGCACCTAACACAGAATCAGTCACATATCAGCAATTATTAGTCTCCACTTTATGTTAATAAGCCATACATGTCTACTTTTCTTAATCAGGCCCCATAATTAGTTTTTTATGCTCAGCAAACTGGTGAAGTCCCTTCAGAGCTAGATCCGTTATATCTCTACAGTGAGCCAAGTGTCCCCACGGCAAAATTGTCTTAGATTTAGTCCCACTGACAATGAATTTAAAGTATTTAGGAAAACTTTGCTAAAATGTCCTGAACACATTGGATTAGGGGACTGGAATTCGGGGTAGGGGGTTAATGCCTTTCCTTTACCCTACTTTTCTCTTCCTCTTCTTCCTCCTCTTTCTTCTTTTTCTCTCTTAATCAGAGTCACAGAGAAATCCTGGAAGAGAGAGTGTTTAAGCCAATTTGGAAAAGTGTTTCTGCTCCTATGTTCTTGGGATCTTAGAACACAGAAGGCTCTATAAGTTTCAGAAGGCTCCAGATTAGAGGTTGAAACCTTAAAACTTAACCCCATTCCTCTATGACATGACTGGGGAAACCTCCCTTCTTTCTCCAAACCTTGCTCATCCCCTCCCTAAGAGAAATAACATAACTAGAAACCAGGACTTGCCTCATCACTGTTGAGACGCCCCCATTATTTGCTGCAAGCACCGTGAGTCAGGGCAGAGTGATCTTGTTCACTGCACAACCTCAGCACAGTGCCTGGGACAGAAGAGCTGCTCAGAAAACACCTGTTGAACAAATGTGTCAAAGGAATGTTCCTTCCTCTCCTATAGGAACTCCTGGGTGTAGGAAAAGTGGGTATCTCATTTCATAGTGATGGTAATGCAACATAGTTAGAATCACTGTCTGTGTGCTTCCATTTGCCCATCTAGACTTTGAGCTTTGGGATGCAGGAATCCCTGAACCCCCTCTACCAAGCATACTGCTGGACCCATTAAAGGTGCCCAATAAATGTGTGTTCAACTCAACGTGACCATGCTGTCCAGACTTGTGGGTAGATGCTTAGCTTTAACATGACTAGTCACCTTTCTGCCAAGGAGAATAAAGTGTTTCATGTTTCTTGCCTTTCTCCTTTCTCATAGCAGTGGGTAGGTGAAACAGGGGCACATCCACAATATGGAAATTAGAAACTTAAAGGGACACAAAAATTTAGGGTTTGTCTAGGATCACACATGGCACATTCATCGCCAAAGTCCTGATGTGCAGGTCTGAGGGTCTTTCAACAGCGTAGCCTGTCATCCCAGGTAAGAACGGCAATAATATCTAACTTACTAATGCATAGTTTATATTGTCTCCCAGAAAGATGATTGCTGCATTTTTTGTGTTGCCATGCTCTCTTTAAAATAATACTATAATACATAGTATTGTTTTATAGTATTATTTTATAATAAATAGTATTTATTTATAGGTTTATTTTATAATAATTAGATAAATACAACCATTTTTTAGAGTTGAGGGCCAAACAGTAAGCATGGTCAACAAACAGACAAACAAATACATTCTTATTGTTCTCAGTTTCTTTCCTCTTCCTAAAGTGGGAATTGGAATTTATCTTCTGGCTGAAGATTCCCACAATTTATAACTGAAGTCGTTCAACGTCAACCATGAGCAATCCTTGGACTCTACTATAGGATGGCCCTTATTGAGACCTTAGGTGTACTTCTGTTTAAATTTTGTGATTAGAAACATAAAATCAATCATAGTGAAACCCAGTAGACTTGGTGATCTGAGAGGGATTTTGTTTCTAGTACTTGAGTTGATTTATTTCTCTGTTTGTTTATTTATACAAAATTGCCTTAGATTTATTCCCACTGACAATGAATTTAAAGTATTTAGGAAAACTTTGCTAAAGTTTCCTGAACACATTGGATCAGGGGACTGGAACGGGGCGGTTAATTTCTTTCCTTTACCCTACTTTTCTCTTCTTCTTTCTCCTCTTTCTTCTTTTTCTCTCCTAATCAGAGTCACAGGGAGAAATGCTGGAAGAGAGAGCACTTAAGCCCATTTGGAAAAGTGTTTCTGCTCCTATATTCTTGGGATCTGTGAACGCATAAAGCTGCTAATAACAGGATTTGTGGGAAAGAAGTAAAGAGCTATTTCTCATGATGAATTTGGGTTGAGTCATCAAGAGAAAGCATAACATTTTATTATGAATGACTACACCTGTATTAGTCTTTTTCACACTGCTATAAAGAATACCTGAGACTGGGTAATTTATAAAGGAAAGAGGTTTAATTGACTCACAGTTCCACATGGCTGGGGAGACCTCAGGAAACTTACAATCATGGCAGAAGGTGAAGGGGAAACAGGCACATCTTACGTAGCAGCAGGAGAGAGAGAGAGCAGAGAGAGGGGAAACTTCCATTTATAAAACCTCCAGATCTCATGAGAACTCACTCACTATCACAAGAACAGCATAGGGGAAACCTCCTCTTAGTGTGCATGCTTAAGTCACTTGCCCAGCTCCTGAGATTTTATCGGGAAGCAGATGATTACCAGATTTAGGTTTTTCCTATCTATGTGGAGACTGCCTTTCCCTGGTGCTGACTGCAGCTAATTATTATTTTAGAGAGACAGTTAACAACTGCCTGACCATCATCACCTGATGGTTGCTGGACATCCGTGGTATGTTAGGGGAAATGGGAGGCCTCTCCTGCACTGCCCTGCTCATGTCTCACTAGCTACCTACCATAACACATGGATTCCAGTTTCTGGCCTGTATCATTTTTCCTCTCCATAAAGAGCTTCTTTCAACTTTCTTACAGGGCTGATCTGCTGGAGACGAATTCCCTCATTTTTGTTTGTCTAAGAAGGTCTTTATTTCTCCTTCGCTTTAAAAAAAAGCATATACTATATTTTAGAGCAGTTTTAGATTTACAGAAAAATTAACAGAGAGTACACAGTTTCCTCCGTCACTTCCATCCACACACAGTTTCCCTTATCAACGTTTTGCATTGGTATGATACATTTGTTACAATGAAAAACCAATACTGATACATTATTACATCCCTAGTTTACATTAGAACTCACTCTTTGCATTGTACATATTTTTGGATGTGAGGAATGCCTAATGGCAGGTATCCACCACAGTATGGTGCAGAGTAGTTTCACTGCGCTAAAAACCCTTTGTGCTTCCTTTATTCATCCGTCTCCTTTTCCCTTTCCCACCCCACGTCCCACCCCTTGCAATTACTGCTCCTTTTACTGGCTCTATCATTTTGCCTTTTCCAGTATGTCATATAGTTGGTATCACATAGAATGTAGCTTTTCAGACTGACTTATGTTACTTAGCAATGTGTATTTAAAATTCCTCCAATGTCTTTTCACGGTTTGAAAGCTCATTTCTTTTTTAGCACTGAATAATATCCCCTTATGCAGATGTACCACAGTTTGTTTATCCACTTGCTTATTTAAGGACATACTGGTTGCCTCCCATTTTTGGCAACTATGAATAAAGCTGCTGTAAACATTTATGCACGGACTTTTGTGTGGACATAGCTTTCAACTCATTGGAATAAATACCTAGAAGCATCGTCACTGGATTGTATGGTAGACTATGCTTAGCTTTATAAGAAATTGCCAAACTGTCTTCCAAAATGATTGTACCATTTTGTATTTCCACCAGCAATGAATGAGAGCTCCTATTGCTTCACAACTTCGCAGCATTTGGCATTGTCAGTGTTTTGGATTTTTGCCACTCTATAAGTGGTACCCCATTGTTGTTTTAATTTGCAATTCCCTAAAGTGCATCTTTTCATATGCTTATTTGCCATCCGTATATCCCCTTTGGTGAAATGTCTGTTAGGTCTTTTACCCACCTTTTAGTTGAGTTGTTTGTTTCCTTATGGTTGAGGTTTAGCAGTTCTTTGTATATTTTAGCTACAAACCCTTTATGAGACATATGTTTCACAAATATTTTCTCTCGGTCTGTGGCTTGGGTTGTCTTTTCATTCTCTTAATTTCCTTCACTTTTGAAGAATAGTTTATAGAACTCTAGATTGGTGGATTTTTTTTTCTTTTAACACATTAAATATTTCACCCTACTCTCTTGTTGTTCACATGGTTTCTGATGAGTAGTCCAATGGAATTTTTATGCTTGTTCCACTGTGGGTAAAGTGTAAGGTGTTCTTATTTCTTTGGCTTCTTTCAGGATTTTCTGTTTGTCTTTGGTTTTCTGCTTTCTTTTTTTTTTCTTTTTTTGAGATGGAGTTTCACTATTGTTGCCCAGGCTGGAGTGCAATGGCAAGATCTCGACTCACTGCAACCTCTGCCTTCCGGGTCCAAGCAATTCTCCTGCCTCAGCCTCCCGAGTAGCTGGGATTACAGGCACCCGCCACCACGCCCAGCTAATTTTTTGCATTTTTAGTAGAGATGGGGTTTTACTATGCTGGCCAGGCTGGTCTTGAACTCCTGACCTCAGGTGATCCACCTGCCTCGGCCTCCCAAAGTACCAGGATTACAGGCATGAGCCACTGCGCCCAGCCCTGCAATTTAAATATGATATGTCAAGATGTATACTTTTTTATTTTTTCTTTCTTTTTTTTTTTTTTTTTTAGACAGGGTCTCACTCTCATCACCCAGGCTAGAATGTAGAGGTGTGATCACAGCTCACTGCAACCTCGACCACCCAGGCTCAGGTGATTCTCCTGCCTCAGCCTTCCCAGTAGTTGGAACTACAGTCACATACCACCACACCCGGTTAATTTTTTGTATTTTTTGTAGACACAGGGTTTCACCATGTTGCCCTTTCTGGTCTCAAACTCCTGTGCTCCGGTGATCCTCCTGCCTCGGCCTCCCAAAGTGCTGGGATTATCTGCATAGCCACTGTGCTCAGCCAGTGTATACTTTTTTATATATACCCTACTTAGTGTTCTCTAAGCTTCCTAAATCTGTGTTAGATGAGACAGGAGCCTGGGGGATCAGGAGCTATGAATATTAATTGTAGTATAAAACTGTTTGTTTTGGACCTAATTTTGTATTATCTGCTGCTGTAAGCAGTGTTGGGACCACAGGTGTTGAAACGAGTGAGAAGGATAAGCCTTTCAGAGGACTTAACTTGAAGAAAGGTAGAGATGCTAGGATTGCCTCAAACAGAATTCTGGAGCAAGAGTATGGCTGGATGATCCATGGTGCTGTAACTGGCTCATGTTTGAAAGGTGAAAAGGAAGGTCTCAGACTGGTAGACAAAAATGTAAATGAGACAGAAGGTGAACAGAAGGATTGAATTATTCAAAAGTTGGGATAGAATGGATGAGCCAATTAAATATAAACTCTAAGTAGTTGAAAGCTGTCCAGTGAGCTAAGCGCATCAAGGCGCTGTGAGTGACCATGGGTGGAAACTGGATTTTGTGTGTGTGACCAGTAGAAACCAGCCCATTAAAGTTCATCAAGCTTGGGAATTACAGACTCACTATGGCTACTTTTCTGCCTTGGACATTTCACATGCAGAGTGAGAAGGTTATAACTGAGACTTTCACCAACAACAGGCCGCACCAGACATTTACATGTTGTTGTTCAGTCGTTCATCATCCCAAATTAGCAACTAACATACCTAATTGACAACTTCAGTCCGTCTGTAAGCCCCATTCCATGCCTACCTCTAACTTAATCTCATTATTTCCTTGTGATTAACCCAGATTTGGTGATATAATACTATCAACCAGTCCAGTTTGCTCCAGTTCAGGAGCAGAAAAAAAGAAATCTCTCCAGTGACTCTATATTTTTTCAGAATTTTTTTTTTATGATGAAAATATCTTGCTTCAATCTCATTGCTTCATAGTTATCTCTGATGTACAGGCCAACCCTAAGATTTCTTCACATTTTAGTTACATAGTCTTGATCTTTAAAAATGAACTGACTATATTATGGTACAGAAACAAAATAATGGAGGGAGAACAGAACAAAATAAATGGGAAGGCACAGCCGTCACAAGGACATGATCTATAAGGGGATCAAGACAAAACAAAGCCAAGCAACACGGCTTCTTGTTCTGCTGTAAGAACAAGTGTAAGCAGAGAAGTGCCCATGGTAACAACTTCTTCACAGCCTTGGGCATGAGCTTCACTGGAGATTTGTTTCATGATGTGGGCCTGGAGTAAAATGTTCATTCAAAAACATCTAAGTGCTTACTACGTGCCAGACATTATTTCTAGGCATTAGGGATATAGCAATGAAGAAAACTAAGTATTTCCTGTCCACATGGAGACCACATTTTGTGGCTGTGAGGGACAGCATCCATAACCAAAATAAATAGTATATCAAATGACGATGTGTACTCTGGGAGATAAGGATGTGGTTGTGGTGTGAAATTGGCTGGGGAAGCCTTCTCTGATGCTTGAGCAAAGACCTGGAGAAGGTATGGGAGTGAGTCACCCGGCCGCAGGGAGGAGGAGCATTGCAGGCAGAAGGAACAGTTAGTATAAAATACCCAAGTCAGGAGCATTCCTGAAATGTTGAAGAAACAGAAAGCATGCCTGCAGCTGCAAAGATATGAGAAAAAGAATAGTAGAAGGAGATCAAATCAGAGAAGTTATAGGGGCCAGGTCATGGAAGGCCTTGGAAGTCATTGTAAAGACTTTCGTCTCTTACCCTGAGTGAGATGGGGACTATTGGAGAGTTTTGTGCAGAGAAGTGACATGAGATGACATAAGTTTAAAGGATCCGTGTTATGGGTAGACTTTAGAAGTACAAGGGAAGAAGCAGGGATACAGCTATTGCAATCATCCTGGAAGGAATCATGGTGGTCTGGCCAGGGTAGAAGCAGTGGAGGTAATAAGAGGGGACATATTCCAGATATATTTCAAAGGAAGCACCAACAAAATTTCCTGACAGATGGGATGTGGTGTGTAAGAGAAAAAGAGGAGTCAAAGATGACTCTAAGTGTTTTAGCCAGAACATCTGGAAGCAAGAGTTGCCATTTCTTGAGGTGGATCACAAACAGATTTGAAGAAAGGATGAGGAACTTGGTTTGGCCTTCAATGTTAGGTGATTGAGAAGATAAAGAAGAACCAGTAAAGGAAAACAAGAACAGCCAGTGAGGCAGGAGGAAAGCCAAGTGAGTGTGATGACCCAGAGGTCAAGTAAAGAAAGGGCTTTAGAGGAAACAGATTGATCAAGTAGAGCAACTGTTCAGAGAATTCAACTAAGATGAGGCCTGAGACTGACCTCTGGATTTATCAATGGAGGACACTGGTGACCCTGACAATCCCAGTGCTCTTGATCACTCAGTATAATATTTCAAGCAAGAAAAGAAAAGTAAGTTGCCTAGAATTCCATTTCTAGAAATTAGGAAATACAGTCATTGTCAAAAGGTTGCCATCTGTTAGGTAAGTCCTCTCAACAGTCATGGTGTGACATTGGCCCCATCTCACCTCCTGGCTGAACCACTGCTCATGAATTATAGTTCCAGTTTGTTAGTGAGTTCAGGGAAAGAGTCCATGATGTAACCTTCATCGTGTAACCTTGAACCAGTGCCCAAAATGACTTAGATTTCTCACTATGAAAATAAATATAATGGTCACCACTAAACTAAAATATCAAAACTTGATAAATGCTGGCCCGAGAGAACAATGCTGGCATTGGATTTGCTGAAAAGGAAAGCCACATTCCACAACTACCTTTAAGTCTGTGGAAATGGAAATTTTTTAAATACAGAAAAAGAAAAACTACCGACCCACATGCAAAGGGTGGATTAGGTGGTTTCCACATAGTTAGTGAGGTTCTGTTACCTTAGCGAAGTTCTGGTAAGAATGGGCATTCCTCACCAGCATAATCACTTGCCACTCTTTGGAATTCAGGAAGTGTTTCACAGCAAATGGATAAATGAAATGAGTCAGTGAACAGGATTCATTAGTTGCCTTTCCATAGCCTTCCCTGACTAATCTAACCGCATACTAATCATTGCTTCTTGTTTCTCTGACCCTACCAACTCAACTCTAAGTTCCTTGAGAACTATATAATAAGATGTATTTCTTTGTGTTCCTCACCACACTTAGTTTAGTATTATAGTTATTACTTAATATATACTTCTTGACTGAGCAAAAAATTTAAAAAAGAAATTGAGCTGTTAAGCTAAGGATATAAATTTAATTTAAATCTTCAAGAAAAAGAGATAAGAGAAACAGTGCAAATAAGCCTTACAATGTGCTCAGATTATAATGGTCTGCAGGATTAAACCAACTGGAGCCAACATTCCTCTGATGTTTTGGTATCCAATGGTCTTATCAGTAGGTTTCCAACCATTAATCGTGAGCCATTATTTACTGTTGCCAGTCACTGCCTTCTGGTGTCCCTAGTGATACAACCTTAACCTTCCAAGGGCCCTGTGTCACTTTTGTGTGATGTTTTCATCACACAAAGGGAAGACAGCTGTTTTCTTGGTCGCACTACTTCGTGGTGTCCCAATGAGATGATGGGACTATGTAGCTCTCTACACATGAACTGACTCCATATGCATTCCCACGGGGGATCTTAGCTTGCTTTCTCTCTTTCTTTTTCTTTCAACAAAAAAGGTTAAGTTTTTGTCATTGCTTACATCAGTAACAAAAAACAAATAGACAAACTTTGAAAGGATTGAGGATGGTCAACCCTAGTCAAAGATTGTCTAGCTCATGTTATTTATTCACATTCATGATATGAGTTTATTATATCCATGCTCTTCAGTAATGGCATTGATAATAGGAAGGTTGATTTGGAAAAGCAAAATGTTAAACACTAACCTGAGAAATAATCTGTGATCTTTTCTTCTCTCCAAATTAGTAAAACAAACACTGTGAGCTTTAAAATAATAGAGGTGTGTACTTGGAAATAGTGGATTGCTCTTTTCCGTTTTCCCAGCTGCCATGCTATGGCTAACATGATACTCGAGGTTGTAGCAGAACTTCCAAAGTAAACTTGATCTTTAGAGTTTTACAACAATGATGGGTGAACTTCAGAAAGTTCAGAGATTTTTCTGTCCAAATGGAGAAATAACATTCTTGTGCCAGTTTTCTGTATCTCTGAATTATTTAGTTGAAGTTTTCACAACAATGGCAATTTCTTGACCGTTTCATGCTGGTGACAGGAAATTACACAAGTAGAGTAAGTTTTCTCAACACCCATTCATCAGTTAGCAACAATTCATTGTAGTTTCTACTGTTTAGCCTGAGTCTAGATGCAAATGTTGAAAATGAGGGATATGGTGTTCAGGTTTTCAAAGTGAGATATGGAAGCCCACTCTTTATAGATCTGCCTTGTATCTTGATACAACTTTTTGGTCTCTGTCTTTGAGGGAAGCCATCCTTTAGACACACTCCTAGGTTGTCAGCTATGCCACCAATGAGAAGGGCAGATTATCTCAACCAGGGTTTATCAACAAATGAAGGACAATTTTCTATTCTTATCCTTTACAATTCTAGAAAAAGCAAAAAGCAAGACAAAACAAAAGATGTCACCCAAAGATGTTTTCAGTACAACGGAATCAAACTCTAAAATAAGATGTAAAAGGCCAAGCATAAAGTTGGACAGTGATGGTCTTCCAGATATTCAGTTACACTATCAGGCCCTCAGAGCAATGATCTCAATTTATTTTGTTGGACAATTTATCATTCACAGCACACTGGCCCATTTACACCAAAGGAGGAGAGATCAGGCATTGCACACCCACCACACAACCACCCAAGTTGCAAACTGCAGAGCCAGGGCTTGAATCGTGATTTCGGCTTCTAAATCCATATCGTTACACTGCCTATGGGGTGAAATCTTCAGTTATATAGATAATTTTTTTTTATTTTTCAAAATATTTTTCAAGATATTGTTGAATTGTAAAAGCATCACTTGTGCCTAGGTTCAAATCCTGGCATAGCCACTTATATCAGTGGGCAAGTAGTGTGATCTCTTTAAACATCAGTGTCCTCAACTATAAAAAGACAGTAATAATTCTACCTTCTTAAGGTTGTTGTAAGAATTAAATAGAATAATTCATGCAAAGCATGGAACCTAGTAAGTGCTTGACAGAATGTGGCTTTAATTGTTGATAATAAAAATGATCTATGTTCATTGTAGAAAATGTATCCAAGTATTAAGAAGAAAATATCTCTCATAAATCTACCATCCTGATACAATCCCTTAACCATTACAGCAGATTTTCAATTTTTCTAGGTAATGCTGCATAATGCATTTCTTTGTTATGAAGATTTTCAAACACACAAAAGTTAAAAGGCAAGTGCAATGACTACACATGTATTTTCCTCCTAGAGTCAATAATTATATATACTTTGCCATATTTGCTCTGTGTGTGCGTATGTGTTTAGATTTTGCTGTTTCGTGTCCTTATGCATTACCTGTGTTGGATCTTCCTCAGTACTACTTCCAATTAGAAAATCCAGGGAGTCGGTAAGCAGACATACATATATACATATGTGTTTTTTTGCTGAAATATTTGAAAGTAAACTGCAATTATCGTAGCATTTCACTTATAAATATTTCAATATGCATCTCCTAAAAATAAGAACATCCTCCCACATAATCATAATATCATTATCGCAAGAGGATATTCACGATTATTCGCTAACGTCATTTAATATCCAGTTGATATTTAAATTTTTTAAATTGTCCCCCAATGACTTTTTGCTGTTTATTTTCAAACTATTTCATGCATTGTCTTTTGTTATGCCTCTTTGATCCTAGAACGGTCTTCTCACCAGTTTTACATTACTCTAAGTATACTTTTTAATGATGCATACATTCCAGTGTAGGCACAGTCGTGGCCAGTCCCTCAGCTTAGACATACAAATGGTTTCCTTCTTCCCTATGATGAATCGTGCTAAGATGAATACCTTAGTGCATTGACTTCTTTCACCTTTTCTGGTTACTTCTGAATATTTACATTTTTTAAAAAGATAAGAAAATATTTAAAACCCTTCTTAGATATTAGCAGACTACTTTCCAGAAGGGTTTTATCCACTGCTATCCCCCCAAAGTATTTGAGCATGCCAGGATAGCTGGGGCTTTCAAAGCCTCCTTGTCCTGAGGAGTCCTGGTTTAAATGCCACATTCTCCGGAGGACATTTTCTGGTCTACACTGGGCGAGTTCCCTTGCCATGCATTGTTTCTTGTGATTACTTAATTATCAGCTCCTCCCCTCTAAGAACAAGGAATCTTTACTTGAAGAGGCCAGTTTTTCTCTGAAATTGGGAGCTCAATGAAGCTGGTTGATTGCTTTTAGTATTATGCCAATATTAAAAAAAATTTAACATAAAACTTCTGGCTCTTTTAATTTTCACCAAAACAATACTTTATGATTAAATATTACCCTATGTACATTAAATATTGCCATAACTTTAAAACTGATGGGACTCTATTCCTAAGGGAACCTTTGGAAAATTCTTATTTTAAAATAAAATAACCCAAATAACCAATAATATGTGAGTGGTTAAGTAAGTGTTGCAAATCTACATGATAGTACAGTCTGTACACATTAAAATTTATATTCATAAAGGGTTTATTATAACATGAAGAAGTGCTTGTTAAATGATATGGGTGAAATAACTGTTAGAAATTTAGAATGCTAAATATGCCACAAAAAGGCTAACAAGATACAGCAACTGCTGTACTATGGGTGATCAAAATAGCTTTTCTCATGTATTTTTTTTCTTTCTGACCAAAGCACAGTAAGAAAGATGGAGCTTTGAAAAGCATTATTTAAGCATCCACAGCCCCTGTTTACAAAACTATAAAAGAGAAAAAAAATGTTTACTCATGGTAATTTCTTTCTTTTCTATCTGATTTTGTAGCATGAATTTAATGTTAATGCTACTTTAATATATAAAGAATCTGGCAAAAATCAACCAACTAGCCAGAAAACAAACAAATAAATAAATATTTCATAATCTTCCATTTCCTTCTGAAGATTTTCAGGTATATTCTATCACAAGAGCATTTATGATTATTCCATTTTTAAAATTTACAGTCCCCTTGACAAAATTTATCAACACCTCTATTTGATCTGATGATACACATCAGTTGCCAGGTACATAACAAACAGCAAGCTGTTTCACTGTCTTCATCTTGAGCTGTAATTAAAGAGTATTTACTAAGCATTACTTGAACCCAACATTATACCTGGTATTATAGCAGCTGGCACTGTGGACCCGGGCCCCGAGCTACAGAACCTTACAGCTGATGACCTGTGATCAACATACTCATCTTTCCTCTAACCACATGACAAACCTCCTGGACCCAGAGCCAAAGGAATTTATGGTTTTCCAGGGAAACATGATATTTGCTTTGACAGTTTCACATAGCTTTATCCCAAAGGCAGACAAAGAGCTGAAGTTTCATCTTCACTCGCCTTTCCTGGGATCAAGCCCTTTGATGGAAGGAGATCACTGGGAATCCATCCCTAGGCCTGGAGGTGTCAGAGGCAGAAACCAGACATACATATCCTGCTCTTTGGTCCTCTGGGAAAATACCTAGCCATCACTGCCCTCATCCACCAGTCTCATGTTGCCCGCCTGTCTCCAGTGTTAGCATAAGTGCTGACTCCCCAGCACTGTGTGTGTCTGGGAGGGCAAGAGGAGTGGCAAACAGCCAGCTGGTGACGCCTGCCCAGAGCCCTGGCAGACCTCATTAGGCTCGGACTGGTCTCTGAAATGCTCTACCACTGCTCCTGCCTGGCACCCAAACCCCTACCATTTTAAAGTGAGCTTTTCACATTCCATTCTTCCCCCAAGTCCTGCAACGTAGGGCCTGCTTTTCTCACAGCTCCAACATCAACACTTCTTTTGAGCAAAACTTTTGCATGCAATAGATAGTGCTAGTGCCAATGCATCTTAGCCAGCTTCTACAGTCAAAGTGAAACAAAGAAAGGAAACATTACAAAAATCGGTGTTGTGGAATGGAACCAGACAAAATCAGTAATAGTCAGTGTGCCCCTTTGATGACCTAAATGTTTAGCACCTCAAAGGATTTCTAAAGGTGTCATGCACAGAGTTTTGAGAGGGAGCTGGCATTTTCAGCCAAAAGCTGAGGGATCCTCTGAAACAGATACCGTCAAATATGCAGACAGGTTGCCATGAGGCAAAATGGGAAGACGTATCTGGCTGTGCATACCAAATACCATCTCAGAGTGGGGTTGTGACTTGTAGGATAGACATGAATATGATGCACCCAGCATGGCCATGCGTGGGAGCTCCTCCGTCAGGAAACGTGGTGTGTTAGATAAACTGGAAGAGATTCAGAGAGGCTGGAAATTGGGGGCAGGAGGGGGATGGTTAAGGCGGTAAAGGCGGTTTTTTAAAAGACAGGAAAAAAGGGTTAAGCAAGGAAACTCCATAAGGACCTCATAGGCCCTGTGGAAGAGTCAAAAGTCATTTAAGTGTTAAGCAGGCTTGTTGCATAATTGGATTCACGCTTTAGAAAAGTTACTCTTGCTGAAGCACGAAGAATGAATTGAAGGGGGGCAAAGCAGAGGTAGAAAGACCAGTTACAACATCTAAGTGAAGGATAACAGTCGACAATGAGACACATCAATGGATTTGGGAGGTGTTTAGGAGTAGAATTTGTAAGACTTAGTGATTGCCTAAGGGGATGTGGTGAGGGGAACAATGAAGGAAGAAGAAGAACCTCTAATGACTGCCAGAGTTTGGCTGAGGCTTTCAAGGGAATGGCAACACCACCCAATGCGGGAACAGGAGAGGCACATGAGGGATGATACGCATCAATTCAGGTTTTGGTGGATTGGGTTAAAAATATCTTTGCAAGATCTTTACTAGGTAGCTGGAGAGATACCATTGAAGACCTGTTCTATGTATAAAATCTGGAGTGGCCAGCACAGACAGTAATGAAGCTGAAGGCATGTTGTGGGTGAAAGGGGTGTCTAATAAATAGGGACGGAAGGACACTTGAGTGTTTGAATACTCTGTTCATTTTTGGCAGCTTATTGCGAATTCATGTAACAATCCTTCCTAAGAGCAAGTTCTGGAGGAAGGAAGTATGAATCGCTGAGTTTAAGGATGGGGGGTGGGGGTGCAAAAATAATCAAAGTGGAGAAATAATTCTCAGAGTTACCTTCATTATTGAGTACTTACTATGTGCTAGGCCCTGTACCGAGTACTTAATATACATTGTTCTACTGTATTTCATTTAATTCTTACAACAAGCCTACATAAAGTAGATACTATTATCTCCACTTTATGTTAACAAGAGCTGAAGTTTGGAGATTCTATTACTCTCTATCCCTGTTGTTTAATCTGATAGCCGCTAGCTGCAAGTGGCTGTTAGGAATTTAAAATGGGCAACAAAGAAACTTAATTTTTTATTTAACTCCAAATTCTCATTTAATTCAAATTTTATTTTATTTCACATTAGTGTAAATTCACACTTAAGAACTAACACTGGATTCAGTTATTGAAAAATGCTTAAATATTTTTGGAACAATGTGAGTATGTGAATCAATTTTTTCAACTCTAAGTTTTATGAAATGTAACTACAGATCAAGTATTTCCAATGAAAAATTTGTGTCTGAATTGAGATGTGTTGTGAGTGTAATTTTTCGAAGATTCACTGTGAAAAAATATATGAAATATCTCATTTATAATTTTTATATTGATTACATATTGAAATAATGTTTTGAATATATCAGATTAAAAATATATTGTTAAAATTAATTTCACCTGTTTTACCTTTTCACTTTCTTTTATGTGACTACTGGACATTTTTCAATTCCCTAAGGGAATTGAGTTCCCCGGGGCTGACGGGGAGCACGGCCTGGGCAGCCCTTTCCCGAGGATGTCCCAGTGGAGACGGGCTCACACCGAGGTGCGCGCACATGCGCGTCTGCGCGGTCCGCCGCGGGTGGACCGAATCTCACCCCGTGCCCACGACCGGCGGGCTTTCCTGTTTGCCTTTTTGAACTCTGTTTTCTTTGAGTCTTGGAGAGAGCCAGGGGCTGTGATGTCACTGTATAAACAGAGGGAAGGGTGGGGGCGAAAGTTGCATTGGAGCGAACCCGGCGGTGGAGGAGGGCTGGTGGGAGGATGGGGGTGGGGAGGGAGATTTTTTTTTTAAAAGTGGTTTGGTCTCGGGGGTGTAGGGGCAGCGGGGGACTCTGCAGAGTCCCGATAAAGAAACAGAATGGGACTGCCAGTCCCTAACCTAGGGGCGGGGAGGGGGACGTGGCTGGAAGAGACAGGGGTTGGTGGGGGGAGGTTGGAAAAATATGGGACGCCTAGAGCTAATTCCTCTGATTAAAAATGCATTAGTTTGGAGGTGTCAGGGACACGCAGCTGTTTTCAAGGAAAGCCTGGCTCCAAGAGGTCCTCCCCGGCCGGGCCGCCTGGCGGCTCCATCCCGGGTGGGTGTCAGCGAGCGCGCAGCCCCCGACGCTTGTCCTCTCCCTGACAGGGCCCTGGCCAATGTCCTGCTGCTGCGGGTCGTGGTAATTTACATCCTCTCTGTGTACATTAACTTATCTGCAGCCGCGCTGGCTGCGCTCCTTCAGTCAGCCTGTCTCCTGCGCAGCCTGGGAGCCTTCCCCGACCCAGCGACCCACCGGGCGGCCGGGGGCGACTGGGGAACCCTGGGAATCACAACAACCGCCCGGTTCCGACCCGGCCCGGACGCCCGCGGGGGCGGGGGACTCTGTGGGGCCAGGCGTGGAGGGCCGGCGAGCCCGGCTCGGGCAGGGCAGAGGCGGGCGGCCGGGGGCTGGCGGCGAACACTTAGTGGCTAATTCATGACTCATGACTCATGCGCAGGCTCCTCTTCAGTGACAGCCGGGACAGTTCCTGGTTATTTGTAGCCCCCCGGCTTTCATTTCGCTGTAATTAAGCAGTCATTTGAGGGTCATTTCATCCCCGTTATAGGTTTCTCTGTTTTAATCATGCTTTGAGTTCCAGTGGGGGCAGCAGGGAGTGGAAGGGGAGGTTGGGAAGGAGGCGTGGAGGGCAAGAGGGTAATCGTCTCTGAGAACGCGTGCACTTTTCATAACTCTTCCCGTGACAGGCCCTGGTGCAGGCTCCGCAGACGCCGACGCCCGGCGCTCCGCTCCGGGGCGCGGGCCAGATCCTCTTCCCTGACACCCGCGGTCTTCCCTGAGAAGAGGTCTGGCCCTTTTTGAGTCAGATGTTGGATTTTCTGCTTTCCCCTCTGGCACCACACTAATCATTCTCTTTAATCGCTGTAGCTTTTTAATGAGGCCAAGTAGGTATTTATGGAGCCGTCTACTCTCCAAACGCTGATGCTTGATAAGTCATTTATAACTTATCGGTGGGCTTTGCATAGGCCAAACCCAGAAGAAAGGAAGTGAGAATAAAATAGAGGCTGGATTTTACGAGGAACCTTCAGCGTATCTTCAGGTCCTAGATGGTACCAAGCCCTTGTGGGAAATGTTCAATCCATCAGACATAAGAATAAGAAACGGCCACAGCCTGTCCGAATTTTGTGAAAATTCTCTGGCTGTCATTCTTGATTTTTTTTTTTTTAATTCCCTCCACTTTCTCCTTTGGCTGGTTCATGTATTCTTTAGATATCATTTGAAGCTTCCATTCCAAGGCCAAGTCTAAGATGTTCTTTAAAGAAATCTTAAGCTATTGCATTTGGAGGGCACACAGATTGAAACTGAAAGGACTGGAAAGAAATAAAGGACAGAAACCAGATTTTCTGTCATTGCAAAGAGTAGGTGCCACAGGCTCCAAATCTCAGTAGATATTAAAGTTAAAGCAGGAGTCTGCGGTAACAGTAGGAGGGTGGTTGCTTTCAAAAGAGAAGGGAAGAGAGAAAACCTGTCCAAGAAAGGGCAGGAGAAAGAGTGAGAGAGAAACAACACAGACTAGAAAAACAAAATGAATGAATCAATCAACATATGAGTATTTAATGTGCATTAAGGAAACTTCAAAAATGTTTTCAGCCATAAAATGGAATAAAATACTGATACATGCTATAACCATGGATGAGCCTTGAGAACTTTAAACTAGGTGAGAGAAGCCACTTATAAAAGACCACATATTCTATAATTCCATTTAGATGAAACGTCCAGAACAGGCAACTCTATAGAGACGGGAAGTAGATTAGCTGTTACCTTGAACTGGGGGTGGGGGTAGGAGTAAGGGGACTGGGGGAGCGACTGCTAGAATTAATTGTGATGGTGATTGTACAACTCTGAATATGCTAATAACCACAGACTTACATGCTTTAAATGGGTGAATTGTATAGTATGTGAATTATATCTCAATAAATCTGTTACTGAAAACAGTTTCCGTTAAGTTAAATAGAAGCAGGTCCCAAAACAGCACCACTAAAAAATTCTCTTGCTAAGTGCACTGCTCCTTCCTATATGACAATGTAAACAGCAAATACTGTTCCTAGGACGGGGTCTGGTTTTTCACTTGGTCCCCAGTGCCTAGAACAATGCTGCTTATGGAAGGTACACAACAAATATTTGCTGGAAGAGAACTTGCAAATAACCAGATGGCCAAATTCAGACTTATACCACGCTCACCCTGCCATCTCTTCGCTGCACCCTCTAGCTTTCCAATATTATCATTTTATATATATAAAATATACAAATATATATTATTATATATACAAATGTATATTATTATATATAGTATCATTATTATTATTAATACAGCTAGTACTAATAACTAACAAACAACATTTTGTTTATATATTTTGTGCCAGGCACTGTACATATATTTGCTTCTAATCCTTATAAAACCCAGCAATGTAAACCCACTGAACCCAGGTCTGTCTGGCTCCCAAAGTTTTAGTCTATTATAAACACCGCCTGCTAAAAACACTAAACACAAAGGCAAGGAGAAACATCAACGAACATGCAAAAGAGAACCAGCCAAAGTCACCGACAGAGGAAACCAAAGAAAATCTGGTTTCTATGTTTATTTTAGTTTTAATTTTTATTTTTTTGAGACAGAGTCTCGCTGTTACCCAGGCTGGAGTGCAGTGGTGTGATCATGATTTCTATGTTTAAGCTGAAAGAAGTATCAAGAAGCATCACTCAAACACATCACTCAAAGAACGATGGCTTGTCTTATTTAAAATTATATCACTCATAGAACTATGGCTTGTCTTATTTAAAATTACGATAATTTTATACTAACCATGGATTATATATGCAACAGCTACGGAGGACTTACTATGTACATAGTTCACAGGAGCTTATGTTCGAGCCTGTTATAAAAGCTACTGTCTCTTAAAAAAAAAACAAAAATGAGTGCTCAGTATATTTGTCTAAGTAGTGAACAAAAGGTTTAACCGTACAGTAATGGAAACATTCTGGTTTCCCAAAACCTCTTCCTAAAGCTGAAACATTTTTGTGGAAAGTTAAGGAAAAGACCCAGAACTCTATGAAGGGCTGCCTAAATGACTACCCACAAAAGTAGCTGGGGAGAAATACAAATTAGAATACATCCAAACTATTCGAAAGCTACTGTGGTGTGTGCTTGGGCTTGAGCCTGCTGCCTAGGTGTTCATTAAGTGTTCATAATATTTCTTATGTCCATAATCCAAGATTCCAGACCCACATCCCAACCAAGACTCAGACCCGCCATCTTATCTCATGCATATTAGTTGGTATATATTGATACTACTTGTAATAATTATCCTAGAAAGACACAAAAACCTTCTAATAAAAGGTTCTATATTCCTCTATCTACTTTGCTATCAGAATTTTGCTCTAAGATTTATAATGAATAGCCCCCATTTTCAAGTTGGAAAAACCAAGTACCCCCTGAAAGTACTTACTGAAACTGTCCCAAAGATCCATAATAGTAATAGGAAAAAATCTCAGCATGTCCTTCTCCCAACTGTTAGAGATACTCACCTCCTATTTAATGTGATAGGAGGTGTTCCTTCTACTTACAAAAAATTCGTATATATATTTAATTTTTTCTTAACTAAGTCTGAAAAGGAGAGACAACCTAGGCCATAAGTATGGAAAAGATGTATAGTTTCCCTCTCTCCTTTTTATGGGCGACTCCAAAGTGAAAGTCCAACCACTTAGGCGGATGAGCTTCAAGAAACTCTTCTCAGGACTGTGGAATGTGCACTGTGTCTACAGTCATCCATCCCTAAGCATATGTGGTTGTCACCCTCTAGTGGATGATCTATGATAATAGTTGGCAGCCTCCTGTGGGGCACAAGCACGATATTATCCAAGACTCACCTATCTTTAAGACGTAAATGACAGATAAGACTGCACCACAACTCTTCAGTCTTGGACACATATTTCCTAGGAAAATGGGTGCGCACGTGCTGTTTATTCAGTCTGCCATTCCCTGCTTCTTTTGAGTCTGTGTTTGTGTTTCCTACTGGTGTCTGGCATTTTCAAGAACAATACACATTTCCTTGAGGCAGACTTCTCCTACCATTGAGATAGTCCTAGGCAATTGATTCCCAGATATTGTTTGTATCCAGACTGGTCTTGAAAGCTTTCTCTATCTGCAGGTCTACTGGGTGTACCCAACTATTTAGCTGGTAACCAGGCACTTGCCAGTAGAATGCCAGTTCTGTGTTGAACAATTTGATCTACCTAGGAAAGTTGTGGACGATAAATATTGTTTCCATGTTTGCCGCTGTGTAAGGAGCCTAAACATAGATTCTTAGAGACTCTGATAGAATTTTTAGAGGTGGAAATGATAGGGTTTGCATTACCTTAAATTTTCAAGACTCAACACCAAGCATTAGATTGGAAAATAGAACTTTTTACAAAAGCCCTCTAAAATGAAGTCTGGCTTTGAATTCATTAGTATTACTAGATTCAAAATATAATCACATGATTTTCTTCTCTCCATTTTATTAGGTAACTGAAGATTTACATCTGTAAATCTGGATGGGAACTGAATTCCTACATCATAGACAGTTTCAAGGAGGGAAGGATTATGTGTTCAGGAAATACTCTGCATTCTCAAAACTCTACATTGTTGGTGCTTAGATTTGCTCTGTGAGAACCTACTGAAATAAACCTTTTCTCTGGAAGACAAGTACAGTTTCCCGAAGATCTGTTTATTTGCCAGCAGAGGAGTTGAATATTTGAAGCCAAGCCACCTTGGTTCTAAATCTGTGGTTAAATGGAAATCAGAGCACTGAGATATGCGGTGCCCCTCCCCACTCTTACTCATTTGAAAGATGAAGAAACTGAGGCTTGGCAAGGTTGAGTGGAGTTCACATAGCTAGCTAACCACAGAGCTGGCACCAAACAGGAGCCCAGCTCTCCAACTCCTAGGCCCTTGCCTCTCAGGTGGAATTTTCTTAGTGATTAGGAGAAAATCAGTTCCCTAGCCCTGTTCACAAGAGTTTATATTCTGTTTGGTTAAAAAGCATTTTTCTTGTTGTAAGAAATAAGTAACATAAAATTTACCATTTTAACTTTTTTTTTTTTCCCCATAGAGTCTCGCTCTGTCACCCAGGCTGGAATGATGCAGTGGCGAGCTCTCAACTCACTGCAACTTCCACCTCCTGGGTTCCAGCAATTCTCCTGCCTCAGCCTCCCAAGTAGCTGGGACTACAGGTACGCGCCACAGCGCCCAACTAATTTTTGCATTTTGTAGTAGAGACGGGGTTTCACCATATTGGCCAGGCTGGTCTCAAACTCCTGACCTCATGATCCGCCCACTTTTGCCTCCCAAAGTACTGGGATTACAGGCGTGAGCCACTGTGCCTGGCCCATTTTAAGTGTTTTAAGTGTACAATTTTGTGGCATTAAGTACATTCACATAATTGAGCAACTATCCCCAGCATCTATTTCCAGAACTTTAAAAAATCTTCCCAAACAAACTCTGTCTCCACTATCTAATAATTTCTCATTCTCCCCTACCCTCAGCCCCTGGCAACTACTATTCTACTTTTTGCCTTTACGAATTTGACCACTGTAGGTGCCTCATATAAGTGGAATCAAACACTATTTGCCCCTTTGTTACTGGCATGTTTCACTTAGCATATTTTCAAGGTTAATCCATGTTGCAGCATGTCAGAATTTCCTTCATTTTAAACGCTAAATAATATTCCTGTGTTTGTCTGTGTGTGTGTGTGTGTGTGTGTGTGTGTGTGTGTATTACACTTTGTTTTGTTTGTCCATTCATCCGTCAATAGATACTTGGGAAAAATATTTTTTAAATGCACAATAAAAATAAATATAAATATGTAAGAAGTAAAAGCATCTCTGCAAGAGGCTTGAGGCTATATTTGTTTAAAAAAGACTGCTGGGAATTGCTGGAGTAATTAAAGAGTAATTTAATAATTTTACACAGAACTATTTTAAATTGAAACTGTGAGCTTTGGTTTACTTACCTTTATATTCTCTACCACCTCCCATGGCATCCTAGCATCAGCACAGGGTCACATGTGGTAGGTACTCAATAAATATATGCTAAATTTCCAAGTCATGCATAGGAAAAATCAAAGGCAATCTATATTATCATTGTTTTTCCTTTTTTGTTAATTTTATTTACTACACAGTGAACTGATTACTACAGTCAAGCTAATTAACATATCCATCTCTTCACTTAGTTACTGCGTATATACGTGTGGTCCGGGGGAGGGAGGGAGAGAACATTTGAAGATCTACTCCCTTTGCCAATTGCAAGTATGCAATACAGTATTATCAACCACAGTCACCAGGCTGTACATTAAATCTCTGGCAGTATTCATCCTGCATAACTGAAACTTTGTGTCCTTTGGGCAACGTTTCTTCAGTTCCCCTCCACTTCTGCTCCCAGTAACTACCTTTCTGCTCTGCTTCCATGAATTCGACTTTTCTAGATTCCACATAGCAAGTTCATGTCATGATTTTTCTTAATCATTCCAGAGGAAGATGATCTGCTTCTGTGATTATTCCAGAGGAAGATGCAAAAGTTCCTGGCAAAAATCTTATATATAGAAAGAACGTTCTCCTGGAAGAACAACGTATTAGCCAAGGTTCTTAATTTCAAATAATGGAACTAATTCTAATTCAAAAGACCAAGCCCAAAAAGAGTTGACTGAAAAAATATTGCATCTCTCATGGAATTGCTAAATGTCTGGAGAACCAGGCTTGAGGATTCCAGAAACAATGTCCAAAACCATGTCCAAAACTGATCCGAGGAGGAAAACACCAAAGGTTATGCCAATGCCAAGCAGTGGGGGCTCCTCTTTGCTCAGCTGCCAGGACATAACTGCACCAAACAACCATCCTGCCACTTCTACCCAGGAGCCCAACTTTCCAACCCTGGTGTCCTGGATGCCTAGAATACCACCTCAACAACCAAACTGATTCCATAGAGCCCCTCCCTCAAACAGTAACACAAGTCACATTTAAGTATAGTGATTGGTGGGGTGTGGGTCACATGCCTGTGTCCAGCTACAAGGTGGCTGGGAAGAAAGTTCCCTATTTTCTCACTAAGAGATGTGGGGCACGTAAGGAAGATGATTTCTTGCATATAAAAAGGGTGTTCAAAAAGTACTGGGCAGCCACTACTGAAGGTAAAAGGACTATGTTTTCCCTAAGAATTATCAGGCAGAAGAACAGATAAAATCCTAGCTGGAATAATTCGAATAGTGATTATTTTTAAACACTATTAACACCTAAGTGGCAAAAGCAGAATAATATGGCAAGTGTTCCAGTTCAGCCCACATTGCCACTGTAAACTTACAAAGCATCACTGGAGAGCTTCTCCCTCTAGAAACGGATTTAGACTTGATAAGGAAAACCAGAGCTCAATTAGCAATAATTGATAGCAGCTGAAATGTTCAAGGAAAGCTCTGTACCTTGTACTTAGATGTTTGAATTACTGTTTTTGCACCAATTCTTGTGCTTTTCTTCTACATTTTGATAGTGAAAGTTAAATACTATATATTGCAATTTTAAAGTATATATATATTGGCAAAGCAAAAGATATAGGTCATGTGTTAGAACCTTTATTTTCTGTTTTCACATTTTATTAATGGACATGTATATACTCAGCTTAACATCACCAGGCAAAACAGATCTATTCCTGGAAAGAAATCTCTACAGGGCTAGAGTTGCTGGCTCTGGCTTATTGGAGATGGCCAGCATGAAGGCAGTCACATGCGTCATCTTAGAACAAAGCCTGGAATCAGATATCAGAGTCAGAAGAACCTAGCTTCATCTGAAAATGGTTTTTCTCCCAGAAAGACCTCAGATGGGCCAGTTTCTCAGTTTCACAGGTTGTCATGATTACAAAGAAAAGAAAAGGAAAATAACCAAATTTTATGAAAACCCATTTCAGAGGACTATCAGGAAATTCCGTTTGTGATAGTTAAAAGTCAACAGCTTATCCCAGATCAAGCAAGTCTGCCTGTTGAGAGATGTGTGCAATTAACTAACATTTTTCCCCTTGTAGTAGACTTGATTTCTTCAACTACATATGATCTATGTTTTAAAAAGAGGATTCATTAAAAACACTAAAGTTGATGGAGAAAAAAATTTGGTCTATATAGCAAACATTCCTTGTATAATGTTTCACAAAATTAACAGGTTTGGTTCATTAAAAAACGCTATTTGACACAACTTTTCTTCATTTAAGTGGCTAAAAGCACTATATACATTTTTCTTAAGATCCATAGATCTAATTTATTAGCTCTATAATCTAATAAATGCACTGTGAAGAAAGAAAAGAATGGTAAGTTTTATTGGCTCAATGTAGAAAATAAAAATCATAGGCTGGAATAGAATAATGTTGAGCCTGAAGTTAATCTTCCAGACAATCTAATCTAGGCTTGACAAATACATGGAGTCAGGATAGGCACTTTCTTAGTTACTGTTTAAGGCAGACATAACTAATCAATCTCCAGACATAACTAATCAATCTCAGCAATTTCTAATTGAACACAGACATATACAGTCTCATAATTCTTCTTAAAACAGAGCTCTGGGTAGCCTCTACCATTCACTGAAGTTGGTGCATGTAAAGAAACTATTTGCTATAGCTGGTATTCTCACTCCTTTAATATATATGCATGTGGAGGATGAAAAGCATGCAGTGACCTACTTGATCATTGTCACCCAGCTAGTAAATGAAAGCATTAGCGTTATAACCCTGATTATCTTTGCATGACCCCAGTCAAACTCGTAAAGTTATGGCATGTGTGACATTCAGCTGATTGCAATTGAGTACCTGCAATTCCAAGTTTAGCAATTATGATGCTCCTGGAAAGAGTTTCTATTACCAACTTTATAATTTCCATTGAGAAAGAAGTGAAATAAGGAAAACATTCTTATGGCTTATGGTTATGTATGAGTTCCTTTATTGTTCATAAAGGAGATTATCTTTATTCATAATTTAAAGGAGAATGTTAAAACATTTACTGCATACAAAATTATTATTAGGCTATGGCTGCTATTTAAATGTAATGCCCTTAGAAACAGGGAATAAAATATAAAGAGATTGAGGCAAAAGAGCTCTTTTGCATTAAATCTTGTTTGTTACAACAAAAATTCACAATATACCACAAGTGCAGTTTATAACTATTTACCTTCATATTAAAGTGATGATGACAGTAAGAGTCTTTGGATTTAATAATGTCTTACTCCACCTATTAAGACAGTGTAATTATCTAGTTTTAAGTTTGATATAATATCCATAGATATTATAGCGATGGATATATATCCATCACTCTGTTCAACTCATGAGTAAAAGCAAAACACAGAAATTAGGTGCCTGCTAGTAAAAGTCTCCAAAAGAAAAAAAGTAGAAACCACTCTTGGTTGATAGTCATTTATTCACCTTATGTCAATGAAGACTTCTACTAACACATGATGTTTCTAGACTTTCTTCTTTCAAATATAGCTTTAAAACAATTTTTGTCACTATAATTCACACACATTATTTAAAAATCAGATTGTGCTAAGAAGCTTTTAATAAAAAACAGCAGCTACTCCATTCTCCCTCCCCTTTACACACACTCGCGTGCACACACACACAGAGACACTGTTTCTCTCTCTCTCTCTCTAAAACCCTGAAGGCAACCACTTTCAACTTTTTTAGCTGTTTATTTTGATATTTACTTCTGTATTTCTAATGAACATACTTATATTACTTGATTTATCTATTTGGACATTATCTGTTATGGTGAACAACATTTCAGTTCTTCTACATACCCCTTTTCCTTTCCTTTCTACTACCTCAATTTTTTGTTCACTCCCTAATCAACGTTCATTATTATGACTATGAACATGTTGTTTCCTATATTGCTGGGCTTTCCAGCAAAGTCGTGTTTTATGATTTAATTTTTCTTGCAAAGCTTTTTGTTTTTCTTGGAGTTAATAGTTGTCTCGTATTCTCATTCACTTAGGGGTCTGTTTTTTTTTTCACCCCTGCCAAATCTTTTCACACACCCCAACAGTTTTGTAAAGGGCCTCTCAATACAATTTTCCAGAGTCAAATCTAGAAATTGTTCTGTCAGTTTCATTTTGTTTTTCTGGAGTCATCCCTTATCCACCTGCTTCAGTTTGCCTAGCTGCTCTGTAGGTCTCCTGCACAGCTATTGTCCTGGTATTTCCCCTGGCACCTCCGCGGTATTAGATCCCTTCTTTCCAGGATTCCACATCTTCTCTTTTCTTGGCATACTCTCTTCTCTTTTCTTTGCATACTCCCTTATATTCCCTTGGTGTCGCATCCTTTGAGAGCTTCCTGAGAAAAAAAATGCATGGGACATAACTTTTTCTGAGACTTTCCATATCTGAAAATATCTTTATTCAACCCTCAAAGTTGATTGATAGTTTCACTGGGTATCAAATTTAAGTTAAAATATTATTTTTATTGAGAACATGAAGTCATTGCTCATTGTCTTCCAGCTTTCAGTGGTGCAAATGGAAAGGTCACTGCCCTTATTCCTGATGTTTTGCAGATGATGCTTTACTCTATCTTTGGAAATGTTTAGAATATTATTTTATTCCCTGTATTCCAAGTTTCAAAATGATGTGCCATAGCATGAGTCTTCTCTTAATTCACTGGTTTGACACTTGGAAGGCTCCGGTTGCTTAGTTATTAAAAAAATGTATATAGAGATAATTTGCACCTGTTTTGTTTCTTTCCATAATGCTCATTAGTATGGTATTGAATTGATTCTTTAATTTTCTCATCTTTTCCCTTTTGTTTTTCATCTCTGTGTTTTTATTCTACTTTCTGGAAGAGTTCCTTCACTTTGTCTCTGACCTTTTAACGGAATATTTTATTTCTGCTATCATATTTTTAATTGACTACAACTCTTGTTCTTTTTATATCTCCCTCATCTGTTTCATGGATACCATGTCTCTGAGAGTATTATAGTTTGCTTTTAAGAAGTTTTCTTCTCCTCTTGCAATGTCTGTCTCCTTCAAGCTCCTTTGCTTTCCTGTGTATTTTGGACACTGTCTTTCCTGGTGCAGGCTTCCCTCAATGCCATTTGTTGCTAGCTGTCTAATTCTATTTAAGAATGAGGCACTGAACACCTGACTGAGACCTCTGTGGGAAGCAGTGCCTCGCTGTGGAATGACTGGGCATCACTGCATTGTGGTCAGGTACTCCCATGCAACTGTACCTTCACATCCCTCCTGCAGGTGGTTCAAGGTACCCGAAGAAGGCTATTCCAAGGTCTTAGCTGTGGGTGAAGGCCTGGCCACGTTCTGAGATGGTGGGAAAGAGGACTGGGGTGGTGTACTCTTCGTTCCTAGCTTTCCTTTCCCTCAGCCCATCTCTACCTGCTTTGTGCCAATTGGCCACAAATTCAGAGCTTTCTGATTCAATCTCTTCAGGGCCTAAACTCCTGTCTCCTGTTGAGGGTGGGGTGGGTGCATTCAGCTGACTGCATCAATTGATGGAAACAATTCTGGGGTCTATAGTTCTATATGAACTTTTAAGGGACCTCCCATTTTTAGCATCCATCCCTGAACTTTTGCTAGAACCTGGTGCCCTATTCCCCAGACCTTCCCTAGGTTCTGTGGAGTGAATTGCCTCATCTACTAAGTGTAGCCCTCTGCAGACAGTTTGTGCTCCTGTCTCTCTCTCTTCTTTGTTCTATGGCTCAGGACTACAGAGGTTCTGGGTACCATTAGAAATGGAGTGTATGCATGTTTCTTGCTGTGGTTGCTGTTGGTCGATAACTTTTGCATAAAGAATGAAAAAGTTGTTATTTGGCCATCTTGAAAGAGGAAGTCTTGAACACTTGTTGGTGTTGGCTAGAGGGATATTCAGTGGCAAGTTGCTGAGCATCCTGAATCAGTTTGCTGGGACTGCCTCAACAAAGTACCACACAACTGTGTGTTCCAAACAGAAATGTAATGGCTCATGGTTCTGGAGGACAGAAGTCTGAAACCAAGATATCCTCAGGTTACTTTCTTCTGAGAGCAGTGAGGGAGGATCTGTTCTCTCCTGGCTTCTAGTGGTTTGCTGGCAGTCTTTGGTGTTTCTTGGCTTCTGCTGCATCACTCTGATCTCTGCCTTCATCTTCACACAGCCTTCTCCCTGTGGGCATGTCTAAGTTTCCCTTTTTAATAAGGACACCAGTCATATTGGATTAGGGGTCCAACATACTTCAGTATTACCTCATCTTGACTGATTACATCTGCAACAACCCTATTTCCAAATCAGTTCACGTTCTGAGGTCCTGGCCATTAGGACTTCAACATATGAATTTTTGGATGACAGAATCCAGCGTGTAACATATCCCATATATGACATCTTCTGATTAGGGCGACCCAGAATCCCACTCTGTTCAAAACAGCTTGGGTTTACACATCAATCCTGCTTAATTATTCTTAGCGATTTCCAGTCTCAATAATGTCCAAGTTTAAACAATAAATTATGGAGTCACACTACATATGATCCTTTCCACTTTCATGAAATTATCAAAATAAAGAATTTTACTGATATTCCCAGTAGACTGTAGACATAAATCTGGGAAATAGTATTTTTATGTTTTCCTGTTTTTATTTTATGGAGAAGTATATGTATGTAGATGTACATATACATGATTTTTATAAAATCTTATGAAAAAATACAACTATATTTTTATATGTATGTATGTATGTATGTATGTGTAACAAGCCATACATATGGTTTTAAAACACACCAAACTTATTGTGATAGAATAGTGTGGTATATAAGCAGAACTTTCAGTCTTTAAAAAAATTTTTTTATTAATAAAATGAAAGAAACAAGAAACAAAACAGAGTTTTATATGGTCAACAATAAATAAACTTCCATCAGTTTAAGAAAATTAGAAACTCAGACCCCCCAGGGTTCACAAAGGTTCTGAATTTAGCCAAATCAACAGCTTCAAACCCATATTTGTTATGAGATTGGGGACAGCTCAGTTCTTTCCATGGCAACCAACTGTGCTGTCATAAACACTACAGGATGGTCTCTAAATGATCCAACAGTTGCTAGACTATGAGGGAGATAAGATCTTATTAAAAATACAAAAGTTGGAGCTTACATACAGGAATATGGAGATGTATTGACAAGGGGATTTGCATTACATGTAAACAGTACTTTCTCATTTGGCCTAATAAAGGAAAGGCCCCGTTTGATGAAAACTAATGTGGGTTAATGCTTATCTTCCTTAAATAGCTGTTACACAAATTACCTACCAACAGAAAAGGTCATAAGGAGAGGGAAAAGCGAATATAGGCAGCCTTCACTGAAATGTGTTTTGTGACTTTGTCCAAAATTATCACCCCACTACTAAAGCCATTGCTTGGTAAGAACTATTTTTCTCTCAAAAAGACAAAACTTATATTCTTTTCTAAATATAAAATGCATTCTCATTTTATAAACTTTAGAAATACATAAAACATTGAAAATCAAAATCAACTGTAATTCCACCACCTTAAGAATTTTTAGACTGGAATCATGCTGAACATAGAATTTTATATATTCTTTTTTCATATAGCATTACATCATGAGCTTTATCACATGTCATTTAAAAATCCTTCACAAGCATGACATTTAATAAATGCCTAATAGTCTCTCATATGGACAAACCATAGTTTATTTAACCATTTCCACATTGTGGTGGATGTTTTTAATGAACCTAATTTTTCAACATTATTAGTATTGTAGTAAAGAGCATCTTACAAATAAACCTTTATTTATGTTTCTTATTGTTTTATTAAAATACATTGCTAGAAATGGAATTATTAGGGAAAAGGTTCTGAAACACTTTTAAGATTCTCCCACTTTAAACAGCTTTTTCAGAATTTTTCTCTATTCTTACTTGCTTACAACCTCAGATGCACTTCATTTAAAATTTTATTCTAGAAAACAATTCTTTAGAATTTTCATTGGGATTACATTAAAATCATAAATTTAAATGGAAAGAATTGACATTTTTATGATTTTTAGGAACTTGATATATATATCCATTTGTCCAAGTATTCTTTTATATCTCTCAATAAACTTTTATAGTTTTTTCATATTGTTCCTGCATATTCATTGTATTTTAAAATTTTTGTTGCTATATACAATCATCCTGTCATTGTATTGTTTAATCAGAGATTGCTGGAATATAAGAAAAATGGTTACTAATTTTAGAGATCTTTATCTTCTAATCAGCCAATTTGTTAAACTATCCTATTACTTACAACAAGCTTATAGCTGGTGGGGAGGTTTGAGTGCGTGTGTGTAAGGAGGGTATATCATCATACCAGCTAAAAATATTGTATTTCGCCTTTTTCTTTCCAGTGATAAAACCTCCTTTCTTAGGGTTCTTGTCTCTTCTATTGCCCACAGCTTTCAAAAAGTTAACTAACCGGCCAGGTAAGGTGGTTCACGCCTGTAATCCCAGCACTTTGAGATGCAGAGGCAGGAGGATCGCTTGAGCTCAAGAGTTTGAGACCAGCCTGGGCAACATAGCGAGACCTTGTCTCTACTAAAAATTCAAGAAAAATTAGTCAAATGTGGTGGTGCGCCTGTAGTCTTAGCTATTTGGGGGAGCTAAGGCAGGAGGATTGCTTGAGCTCAGGAGGTGGAGACTGCAGTGAGCCCGGAACGTGCCATTGCACTCAGCCTGAACAAGAGTGTGATCCTGTCTCCAAAAACATGATTCTAACAAAAATAACAAAAAGTTACCTTGTAAAGGTCATAGATGGCATTTTTGACTTGTTCTCAAGAGGAATAAGAATAACCTCTTACATATTACACCAATAAACATAATGTTGGTTACTAAGTTTAATATTGGAATAGACATATATAAATACCTATGTCTCAGGGGGTTGCATAGATAACAGGAATAAATGAAGCAGGCCAGCTATAAGATAATAGAGCTTGGTGGAGACTGACAAACTGGACAGTGCTCCTTCTAATGTGAGCTGCACAGCAGATACTCAGCTTAAGCCTATTATATCATATGAAATGTTAGCTTACTGTTAACATCCTAACCCTCATCTTTTTTTTTTTTTGCATGTAAGAGACAATATCTGATTTTATATGAAATCTCCCAATTATAAAATGTCTATAACAAATCATTTTCCCAATACTGTACAGGCCAAAACAAAAAAATTTAAAACAGTGGTTCTTATTCAGTTCATTTGCAAACACAGGTTTTGAATAAATATTCCTAACCGTGAGGAAGAATCAGTTTAATCCAAGTCTCTGAAGAGTTTTGCTTTTTTAGAAGTACATGTTGGCTGGGTGCGGTGGCTCACGCCTGTAATCCCAGCACTTTGGGAGGCCGAGGCAGGTGGATCACGAGGTCAGGAGATCGAGACCATCCTGGCTAACACGGTGAAACCCCGTCTCTACTAAAAATACAAAAAATTAGCCAGGCGTGGTGGTGGGAGCCTGTAGTCCCTGTTACTCAGGAGGCTGAGGCCGGAGAATGGCGTAAACCCGGGAGGCGGAACTTGCAGTGAGCCGAGATCGCGCCACTGCACTCCAGCCTGGGCGACAGAGCAAGACTCTGTCTCAAAAGAAAAAAAAAGAAGTACATGTTATATGTTATAACATCTTTTAAAATTTTTATTTCACTCATTGAATAAATAGACTTTCTAATATTAAAAATGCATTTCAAGGATATGATGAACAATACTAGAGTTTAATTTTGTTCATTAAAATTTTATTTGAGCTTTTTATTTATAATCAAATGTAATTCTTAAACTTTCAAATTTTTAATATTTGTTCTTGAGATATGTAAGTTTCATAAGATGAATTGAGGATCAGTAATATTCTGAAGTAGAATAGCATAGAAATTATCTGTTTCTTGAAAGTTTGAAGAAAGTTTACCTGGAAAATTATTTGGCATAAGGTCTTTTGAATTATTTTGATTTTTTTCCAAGGTTATTGGTCTATTTATTATTGTGTCAATTTTGGCCCCTTTTACTTTCCTTGAACAATGTATCTTTCCAACTTAACATCAAAGAATATTCCATAATATTCTCATAATTTTATGACCTCCGTATCTGCTGTTACATATTTTTTCTTAATTCTAATGCCTTTTTTATGATGGTTAAATCAATTTGTCAGGTTCCTTTGTTTGTTTTTTCATAGTGCTATTTTCTTCACAGAACCATCTTCTACGTTTATCCTATGAGGTTTTTAAAATTTGTTTTTAAACTTAGTAATTCCTGATTTTGGCATCATTACTACATATTTCTTTCCCAAAGTGTATTTTGTTATTATATATCTAGCTTCTTGACTTCAATGATTAGTTCATTTATTTTCATTAATAATGACAACCCTTAAGGCTATGAGTTTTTTTCTCCAGTAGAGCATTGGCTTAATCCTGAAGATATGATATATAATATTGTTACTTTTTTTCTTTCTTTCTTTTTCTTTTTTTTTTTTTTTGTTTGAGATGGAGTCTTGCTCTGTCACCCAGGCTGGAGGGCAGCGGCGTGATCTCAGCTCATTGCAACCTCTGACTCCCGGGTTTAAGCAATTCTCTGTGTCAGCCTCCCAAGTAGCTGGGGTTAAAGGCATCTGCCACCATGCCCAGCTAATTTTTGTATTTTTAGTAGAGACGGGGTTTCACCATCTTGGCCAGGCTGGTCTTGAACTCCTGACCTTGTGATCCACCCTCCTCAGCCTCCCAAAGTGCTGGGATTACAGGCATGAGCCACTGCACCCGGACTTGTTATTCTTTTTCTTAATAACAGACTTTTTCTTAAGTCTGTTATTGTGGACTTGACGTTTTCATTGACATATATGTTTAGAAATTTTGAAAAATATTTACAAGGATTAGAAGAATTACTATTTAAACTTTGTTAATTTTTCAATTCATTATATTACAGTCATAGAATATGACCAGTTCAATTTTACATTATAGAATTTGTTGAGATTCTCTTTGTGATTGAGTATATAATAATTTTACTAAGTGTTTCATGGTAACTTGAAAAAGTACTTTAACTGAACAATATAAAGTTGAATATAAATCTAATCCAACCTCATACTATGATTCAAACTTCTTGTCCTTATGTTTTTCTATATGAGATTATAAAGACAGGAATCCACCATGACAATCGTGTTTCTGTTTCCCTTCTGCCAAGAACTTTTGTATATGTATAGATAAAACTCACCTGAAAGATAATGATTACTATATTTCTTTGTGGAATTTTTATTTATTAATAATTCTTCTTTCATTTAATCCTCTTTGGTTTTTCCTAAAATTAATATTGCCATCCTGTTGTTTTTCTAGAAAATATTGATGTTTTAAGTAAAAATACTAAAAACATCTCTAAAATATTCTGATTTATGAAAAACTCATAAGCAGTATACAGCTGTAACTTTTCTGATTATTTGTACTTCATTTGTTTAATTTTATATATATATATACATATATATTTTTTACATGAACCTGATTCAACTCTAGGTTGGATGGAGACTATTTTTAAGCAATTCCTTTAAGAAGGGCAGAGGGCTGGTACAGTTCTTGAATTATTAAATATCAATGTTTTTCTACAGTCATCATATGAGAATAAGAACATAGTAATATGCAATTTTTAGGTCATATCATTTCCATCTTAAACCTCAGTAGACACTTTTCCACTGTCTTTGGGCTGTTGGTTATACAATTAAAATCCTAGGGCTAGTGCTATTCTTAGACCTCAGTGGTAGATCCTTGCCCCAAACTGCGCCCCTCAGAGGGTCCCCACACTTTGCAGCGCCTTCCTTCAAATTTTGCAAGTCTTCATCTGGTGTCAGGGGCCAGCAGGGGCCCCCTAAATCCTGGCTGCAACCCATGTGGACCCTGATCCTTTTTCTTCCTTTTGAGACTCCAGATTATTTTGAATAACTCAAGCAGTTTATGTAGAAAGAGGCCCCATGAACAATATTTGTTCAGATTTCCGAAGGGTAGCTCTGCTGAGGCCAAGCTGATTTTTCTGTAACTTATTTCACAGATATAACAAATAGATACCATTTTATATATACGTTAAAGTGCACAGACCTTAAGCTTGACCAATTTTTTTTTATACTTTAAGTTCTGGGATACATGTGCAGAACGTGCATGTTTGTTAAAAAGGTGTATACTAAGTGCCATAGTGGTTTGCTGCACCCATCAACCTGTCATCTACATCAGGTATTTCTCCTAATGCTATCCCTCCCCTAGCCCCTCACCCCCTGACAGGCCCCAGTGTGTGATGTTCCCCTCCCTCTGTGCATGTGTTCTCATCGTTCAACTCCCACTTATGAGTGAGAACATGCGGTGTTTGGTTTTCTGTTCCTGTGTTAGTTTGCTGAGAATGATGGTTTCCAGCTTCATCCATGTCCCTGCAAAGGACATGAACTCATTCTTTTTTATGCCCGCATAATATTCCATGGTGTATATGTGCCACATTTTCTTTATCCAGTCTATCATTGATGGGCACTTGGGTTGGTTCCAAGTCTTTGCTATTGTTAATAGTGCTGCAATAAACATACATGTGGATGTGAAGCTTGACCAATTTTTATAAAATGTTTATACCTATGTGACCACCATCCAGATTAGGATACAGATACATAATATTACCAGCATTCTGGAAGTCTCCTTTGTGCCCTCACCCAGTCACACTCCCAACATGCAAGCATTATTCTGACTTCTCTCACCATAGATTACATTTTTTCCTGTTTTTGAACTTTATATATATGAAATCATACATTGTGTACTCCTTTGTGGCTGGCCATTTCACACAGCGTTATATCTGTGAGTTTATCCATATGATAGCATGTAGTAGTAGTTCATTTTCTTTTCATTGTTTGTAGTCTACCATAGTTATAAATCTTCCACAATGTTTCCATTCCACCACTGATGGACATGTGGGTTGATTCTAGCTTAGGGTTAGTGTTAATACCGTGGCACTGAACATTCTTGGACGTGTATTGCTGTAGCATGTATTCCACTAGGAGTAGAATTGCTGGGTCATTGGGTACACATTAGTAGATGCTGTCAAACAGCTTTCAAAAGAGGCTGTACCAGTGCACATTCCCACTACTAATGCATGAGGGTTTCTGTTGCTTGACATGCTCAGCAAGCTTTTATAGTACCAGTGATTTGTTTTCAGTTAGCCCTTCAGGTAGATATATAGTGGTTTCTCACTGCGGTTCTAATTTGCATTTCACTGATGAATAATATTTCCCTGATGACAATACTGACCACTTTTTACATACTTGATTAGTCTAAATATCTTCTCTTGGAAAATGACAATTGGAAAATCTTACTCTTTTGTTATTGGATTGTTGGGTTATCTACTTTTTTCAAATTAATGTATAAAAATTCTCTGTATATTCTAAAACCAAGGTTTTGTTGCAGAAGTCTATAAATCTACTTGCTTTTCTGCACCTTTAATGATATTTTCTGATTAAAACAATCTAAATTTTAATAAAGTCTATTTAATCGATCTTTTTCTTTCTGGTTGGTACTTTTTAAGAAGCTTTGCCTACTCCCAGGTCCTAAATATATCTTCTTGCTTTACCCTTTTTATTTTGGTCTGTAATCCCCGTGGAATCGATTTTCTGTGAATGAAGTGAAGAGGGAGTCCAGTTTCATTTATTTATAGATGTACACACATTTGCTCTAGCAGCATTTGTTCGAAAGACCAATCTTTTCCCCAATGGCATTACTGCAACACATTTTTCCTTTTCTATTCTTTTTAATTTTTAACTTTTTTCACTGATATATAATAATTATACATATTTATAGGGTACATTTTATATTTTGATATATGCATACAGCGTGTAATGATTATATCAGGGTAATTAGGATATCCTGCAACACAACACATTTTTTTTTTTTTGTAAATTTGATGACTGCAGTACCACGTTTAGACACAGGCAAGAGAACCCCCGCCCCAGGCCACATGCCTCAGGGAACCACCACACCACCCTCCATTTGAAGTGCTTTCCTTCCATTTTCCTTAGGCTCCTGTGGCTGACAGTGTTGTCTGGGTGCCCTGAGCCAGGATGGGGACCTGCATGTGCTTTGTTCCCGTTCTCCCTTTTGAGGTATTCTTCGACCCTCTACCACTATATAAGAATCCAATCACATGCCCTGAGGAGCACCTGGTCCACTGCTGACCTTAAATTGGTCTTAAGCTGCACCTGTGTGGGCCTGTGTCGGCTCACTCATCCATGATCGGACGGTGGTGCTGCTCCTGTGCAGCAGTGGAGGCAGTGGCAGGCATGTTCTACTCTGCTCCAGGCAGTGGTACCAGGGTGGTCATCTCACCCCTTCCCTTCCCTGCCACATGTCAGGTAGTCGCCATGGGGTGGTCTCAACTACCTCCTCCAAGGGCTTCCAGGACTACTGCTCCTCACTGGAAATGGGCACTTCCGATTGATTCATGTTCTTTTTTTTTTTTTTTTGCCTCTGATCAATGTGGTGATGTCATGTTCTCCCAGGTTGGTCTTAAGCCATGCCAGATAATAGACAGACATTCTTTACATGAATGAGGATTTTATTTTTGCTCTACCCATGGAACCCTCCTCCCTGCTGACAGGGTATGGAAGGCAAGGCTGTAATCAACACTGAAAGTGATTCCTAGACTAATCATTTTCAATGTTGATTACTACAGCTTATGGAGTTCAAGAGAAGACATGATTGGAAGATATTTTGTTCCGTATTTAAGCTATAAAATTCTGAATGGTAAATTTAACATGTTTAGACAACAAAATTTCCTCCATATTCTGCATAAGACCTGAATTTGTGGTAATCTTCAATGAAACATAGAAATAACCTTTGAGAGAGACGTTGGAAGTCCACAGTCATGAGCAGCATGATGGATGACTCAGCATCATGAATGATTCAGCATCATGAATGATGATGCAACCAACATTGAATAAACGGTAGTGGAGAACTGAAGAGGCAAGAAGATCTATTGTGTCTCAATGAAGTTTCTGAAGACCCTGGTATTATGAATATTAAGAGTCACTATCAGCCAGACTCAGTGGCTCATGCCTGTAATCCCAGGGATTACAGGGAGGCCGAGGCGGGCGGATCACAAGGTCAAGAGATCGAGACCATCCTGGCTAACACGGTGAAACCCCATCTCTACTAAAAATACAAAAAATTAGCCAGGCGTGGTTGCAGGCGCCTGTAGTCCCAGCTACTCAGGAGGCTGAGGCAGGAGAATGGTGTGAACCCGGGAGGCGGAGCTTACAGTGAGCCGAGATCGCTCCACTGTAGTCCAGCCTGGGCAACAGAGAGACTGTCCAAAAAAAAAAGAGTCACTATCTTTTCTTTGTGGTAGAAAATCTGAAATCAGCCAAGAATAGCACAGTTGAAAATAGTGATCGCAAAGAGATCACAATAATGATCACAGATGGATGGTTTCTGACCCTGAACAGGAAGAGACAGTGTCTGGACCTATGAAGAATCTTCACAGGCACTGATTGGATAATAAACAAACAGGGAAGTAGACCCACTCAACCCATTATTCTAACTCTTCATCAAAAATTCTTAAGTCTCATTTGGGCCCATACATTTTGTAATACATTTTAATCAAATTATTTATATAGTCAGGAGCCCTACAGAACATATTTTCCCAGGGTCCTACATACCCTACCAGTGGCCCTAGCTGACTAAATATGTGTGGATCTGTTTCTGGACTCTAGTCTATTCCACTGGCCAATATGTCTCTCCTCTCATCAACATTACATTGGCTTAATTATTATAGCTTTATAATAAGTCTTGACATCTACTTATGTAAAATCTTCAACTTCATTTCTTCTCTAACACAGTCTTGAATATTCTTGGATGTTTGCACTTCTGTATAAATTTTACACCAATTGTCCTCTCTCCTTCCACATACACAAACATGCACACACAAACATGCTGGGAAATTGATTGGGATTTTATTGAATCTAAAAATCAATTTGGGGGGAATTGCTATTTTTACCATATTGAATCTTCCAACCCATCAACATCATATATCTTTCCATTTATTCCAGTCTTCATTAAATGCCCTCAGCAACGTTTTATAGTTTTTGGTTTTCAGGAAAAAAATTAAATTAATTCCCAACTATAATAATGTCTAACACTTGGGTGTATTTTATTTTAAATTTCTTTTAGATTTTATTGTTAAATGTATAATATATGATTGATAAATATATACATATATACAAGATTTTGGGTTTTTTTAGTCTTCCATATATAATGTAAATATATGTACATATAAGTGTTATAAATAGTATCTTCTTATAAAATTAAGGTTACATTTTATGTAATGTTTCATTATGTACTTCTACTTCACATTAATCAACATTTTCTCACATAGCTAAATGTTTCTTAAAATACTTTTTAAAAAATTTCTGCATAGTATTTCATCATATTAATGTACCATAAATTATTTTAGCCAATGTTCTATTTTGGGTTACTTAGATTAATCCAATTTGAAAATGTAAATATTTCAACAAAAAACATCCATATATATAAATCTTTGTACACATCTCTAATTAGTTCTTTTGGATAAATTTCTAGAAGTGAAATGACTAGATCCAACGATATAAATTTTTCAATATTTGGATATACATTGCCAAGTTGCCCTTCAGGTAGGTGCTGGGTTACATTCCCACCAGCAGACTAAAAGCTGATTGTTCATTCTCTTCCTCATTAATATTGGATATTAAATTATTCTGCCAGTTTGGTGGAGAAAATGTTTTAATTTATATTTCTTTGATTACAAGTAAAGTTGAAATATGTATTTTTATATGTTTCTTGGGATTTTTATATTTTTTCTTTTATAAATTACTTGCTTACGTCTTTTGCCAATTTTCCTATTTAGGTGTACGTCTTTCTGGTTAGCACTTCGTTTATGTTAACGATATGATATCCATTAGTCATATAAGTTTTAAACATTTATTTTCAGTTTATTTGTTTTTTAATTTCGCCACTGTTTATTTAATGTATAAATTTAAACTGTCATAAAGTCAAATATTTTTCAGTGTTCAGTTCTTTTTCATTTGTGCTTAGGAAAGCCTATCTTACTCCAATACCAAATTTAAAAATCAGCTGTGTGTTTTCTGCTTCTTTTAAGATTTCTTAGCTGGGCATGATGGCTCATGCCTGTAATCCCAGCACTCTGGGAGGCTGAGATAGGTGGATCACTTGAGGTCAGGAGTTCGAGACCAGCCTGGCCAACATGGCAAAACTCTGTCTCTACTGAAAATACAAAAATTAGCCAGGCGTGATAGTATGCACCCGTAGTCCCAGCTACTTGGGAGGCTGAGGCAGGAGAATCACTCGAACCTGGGAGGCGGAAGTTGCAGTGAGCCGAGATCCCACCACTGCACTCCAGCCTGGGCGACAGAACAAGACTCCATCTCAAAAAAAAAAAAAAAAATTCTTTTTTTTCTCATTTAATATTGTAATCCAGCTGGATATGTGTGATAGGATGGAAGTAGGGTATAATTTTGTTTTGTTTTTATTTTTCTCCAGACATGTCACCGGTTGTCCCAGATCCTGCTACAAACACAGTAAGAAACATACAGGGCAGGATTAAGATACATGAATAAAAAGAAATGAAATGAAAAAGAAAAGTTTAAGACAATTGAAGGAAAATGATTTATATGGAAACAAGCGAAGGTGAGCCAATAAAGACTACAAAGGAGAGAACTAAAATAGTGAAACAAATTATTTTAAATTCGAATTTTCAAAAAATCACTTCAAGCTAAAAGAAGACTTTGTAGCTTGAAAAGGCATGCCATGTTCTAGGAAAAACAGACCCAGAACAGTCAACATCAAGTAAGTTTCCTGGAGGAAATCACCTATGAGGGAAAGATAGGCTGGCCTCACAGTTCTGCACAGTAACATTCAGTGACAGCAGAAGTCAACAGCTCTATTTTCAGATTCTCAAGGAAAGAAAGGCTGACCAAGAACTTTATACCCAGACAAATTATCATTCATGTATAAAGACAATGGAAAAACAATTTTGAACATGCAAGAGCTCAAGCATCCTTTTTCTTTTTAACCTTTCACAAACTTATTTATTTGAAAATACAAATATAAAATTATACTTTCCACATCTGTAATGTGAGAGACCGCCATCTACATAGTAATTTTGTACAACAGGGCTTTAAGAAAGCCACACACACAGACCTGAAAGATTCTTGAGATAGATAGATAGATAGATAGATAGATAGATAGATAGATAGATAGATAGACAGACAGATAGATACACACATACATACATACATACGTATGTATGTATGTATATAGATAAATAGATGATAGATAGATAGACATGTATGTATACATAGTAAAAAAAACTCACTACCAAAGTTCTCATCAGTTTCATACTAAAGTATAAAAGTAACGGTGAGGTCAGCCACAGTGCTAGGGAAAGTTTTATTTAGATACATTTATGTCCAGAGGAAACGCTTAGACTTGCATCCTATTACCTATGGAATTTGGAGTTTACAATACACCATGAACGGCAGATTGGCTAGCCCATGCTACTTAAAAAGACATTCACAGATTCCACACGGGATGGTACATTACGTACAGAATACAGCAGTAGAGAACCTTCGAGGGAGGCTCTGGAATTTTTGTTTTTCAGCCTCCAGCCCCCTGCCCCATCAGGCCCCTGCCTCCCAGAACTGAAATCCTGTCTGAGATAATACATTCTGATTATTTGATAGCTATGTGTTTGGTTTAAGGTTGCCCCCCAACCCCAAGAGGGGTGGATTTTATTTATATGTTTTTGTGTTTTAGTTTACTTACTTTTTTGGTGGAAAAAAAAGAAAGAAAAAGAAAACAAACATACTACAGTATTAAAATATTGCTTAACTTCCAGCATCTCCTTGTGTAGTGTCTGTGCCCAGGACGGGGCTGAGCTGACATCTGCCAGGTTTCTGCTTTGGGGTGAGGGTGGGGAAACCCGCCAGCATCTCTCTTCAGTGTGCTCTCAGTCCCTCTGCTCTACCCACTGCCTGCCTTCCTTGGAAGATAGCTTAGCTGCTGAAGTACATTTAAGAAAAAAATATATATATCCCCTCCCCCACCAACCCCCCACTCGCCCTCTGTCCCTGCGTGCCACTTGCGATCGATAAAGAGAAGTATGAGTCGGTGTTTCTTTTGTAAACAATTTCATATGCAATATAATACAGAAAGCATGACTGACCTTCAATTAAAAATGCAGTAAGCTATATTGCTTTATTCTTGCATATGCTGCAGTGAGCAAATGACAGAATGAAGCAATGTGGAAGTGGTGGCGGCTAAGTCCCTAGCCCTCATTTGCACTAAAGATCAAAATAGGTTTTGTTTTTCTATTTGGAACCAAAAATAAATTTTTTCCCCCAAAATCCTCAAAGAAAAAAGAGCAACAAGCAAAACCTGCCCCCAAGAAATCAAAAACAAAACAAAACCAAAACCAAAAACTGAACACCTTTCAGGTCATTAGAATCAACAATTACACAATGATTTTTAGACTAGTCTAGCAAGATGTGTGTAACATTCACTGGCTGTGATTGACCAAGCATCCTTTTTAAACTCCTGAACTTTGACCAACCAAGAGATACACACACACACACACACACACACACACACACACACTCACGCAGAGCCAAAAGATTCGCAGTGAAACTTAACCCTATTTGTTTGTACAATCAAGATCAAAACAAATCTAGGAAGTATGGCAACAGAGAAGAGTGTAAATGTTAAAAATCCTAACAACTATACAAAATAGAAATTATGTAAATTTAAAATAATTTGCAGAGGAAAGAGAAGAGAATGTAAAAATATAAGTCTGCTCACTCTCTCATCATTTGCAGTTGGGAGGTTAAAATAACTAAATTAAAGCTAATGAAATAAAAAGGCATAAAATATTTAAAGGTAAGTACTAAGGAAGATAAAACAGTAAACTAGGAGTTGGCAGGGGAAGATCATTTTTCATAGTAGAGAATTACAAGTAAAGTTGAAATATGTATTTTCAGATACTCTGAAGAAACAGAAGTCTAAGGGTATTATGCAACATTTTGATTGCAGATATACGCACTAGAACAAAATACAAACATTCCAATTTATCAGAAAAAAATCTACAAGAGTCAAGAAAATCATAGATGATAGACTAAGAAAAAGGCTAAAAATTAGAAAGCATTACATAAAATAATATGCCATTATATCTGTCATACTAGTAAATATAAATGGGTAAAACTAATATATGATTTTTTATGATGCACAAAGCAAAAATCAAAACAGATACCAAAAAGGCAAATGCATCAAACATAGACAAAAGATATTCTAAGTAATGTTAACAAAGAGAAAGTGGGATGTGGCAGAGACAGTTTGTCCTTTCCAAATATTTATTGACTTCCCTGTCTTTTCCAGCCTTCCCTGTGGAATAAGCAGACTTATGACTAATTCTAGCCAATAGACTATGCAGAGAATTGACTAGCATTTCCTCACTGAGACAGGTAAGAACCAGTGTGCCTCTCCACTTGACTCTTTCCCTGTCATGTTCTCCCAGTGGCATAGCCACCAGGTGGAACAAGGCAACCGAGATCACACTGGGTTTGGCATGAGCAGGAAATAAATATTTTGTCCATTCACTGAAAATCGGACTTTAATTTTTATTTCAATAGTAATAGCTGGGCTGTTTGTAATCTTAATATCAATGTTGAGTTCAGGTGAAGAAAAATAATAACAGCAGAGCACTTTTTTAAATGATAAAAGAGGGGACTGTTCACAATGAATATATCACACTTATGAATGCCTATGCACCAAATAACTTAGAATCAACATTCATAAAGTAAAAGTGTCAGAAAACAGGAGAAAGAGGACCACTTTCTTTGAAATGATATATTGGCCACAATTTCTCTGTGCACTGGAAGATGGTGATCCTCTTTCCCTGCCCAGTGCAGCCACAGCTCTTGGTGCCAAGAAGCATCTGAAGTGGGTAGGAGCCCCAAAGCATTGGATGCCGAATACATTGACCGGTGTGTTTGCTTGCCACCCATACACCAGTCTCCACAGGCTGAGAGTCTCCCCGTCATCATTTTCCTAAGGAACAGACTTAGGTATGCACTGACAGGAGATGAAGCAAAGAAGATCCGCATGCAGCAGTTCATTAAGATCGATGACAAGGTCTTGACTGATATAACCTATGCCACTGGTTCCTTAGATGTCAGCATTAACAAGACCAGAGAGAATTTCCATCTGATCTGTGACACCAGGGGTCACCTATTACACCCGAGGAGGCCAAGTTATTCAAAGTGAGAAGAAACTTTGTAAGCACAAAAGAAATCCCTGATCTGGCAGCTCATGATGCTGGCACCATCTGCTGCCCTGGCCCTCATCAAGGTGAATGACATCGTTCAGACTGACTTGGAGACTGGCAAGATTACTGATTTCATCAGGTTCAACACTGGTAACCTGTGTATGGTGACTGGAGGGGCTAACCTGGGAAGGATTGGTGCAATCACCAACAGAGAAAAACATCCTGGATTTTTCGATGTGGTTCATGTAAAAGATGCCAACAGCAACAGCTTTGCTACCTGACTCTCCAACATTTTTGTTATTGGCACAAGCAACAAATCATGGATTTGTCTTGCCTGAGGACAAGGTATCTGCCTCACCATTGCTGAAGAGAAAGAGAGAAGAGACTCGTGGCGGAAGAGAGCAGTGGGTGAAATGGTCTCTAGGTAAACATGTTAGAAAGGTCTTTATACTTAATTAAAAATCATACATCATGAAAAAAATTAATGAATGACATTTTGATTTTTTTCTCTCAGTCCATGAGAAAGCAGGTGAATAGAACATTTGTAAAAAAGTAGAAAACCTAAATTACAAAATTAATAAATTAAATTGTAACACATTAAACTCCATACCTTGAAAACAGGAAAATACATTTTTTTCTCAAGCCTTCATGGAACCCTCACAAAAACTAACCATATATTAAATCACAAAGGAAATTATGGTAAATTTTAAAAAATAGGAATTATACCGATAATAATTGTTATTGCAAAGCAATAAAACTAGAAAATAATATGAAAACAAAAATTATATTACCTAGAAATCCTTTAACTATCTCATAAACAACTTTTGGGTGAAAAAGAAAATCAAATCTGAATTTACCAGAAGTATGGAAAATGACAATAACAAAAACACTACATGTCTGAATCACTGGGTTACATCTAAGATAGTGCTGATAGGAAAAAACCTGAAATACTTATATTAACAAACATTAAGCATTCCATTCAAGAAGTTAGAAAGCAACAATAACCAAGAAAAAGAAATGGAAAAGCATGTTTTCATTTATAAGTGGGAGCTGAACAATATGAACACATAAACACAGGGAGGGGAACAATACACACTGGGGTCTGTGTGGGCAGGGGGTTAGGGGAGAGAGAGCATCAAGAAGAACAGCTAATGCATGCTGGGCTTAATACCTAAGTGATGGGTTGATAGGTGCAGCAAACCACCATGGCACATGTTTATCTATGTAACAAACTTGCACATCCTGCACATATACCCTAGAATTTAAAAAAGAAAAAAAAGAATTC